>NC_000007.14:115537082-115840112 GCF_000001405.40 Homo sapiens
TCTCCTGCCTCAGCCTCCTGAGTAGCTGGGACTACAGGCACATGCCACCACGCCTGGCCAATTTTTGTATTTTTAGTAGAGACGGGGTTTCACCATGTTGGCCAGGCTGGTCTCGAACTCCTGACTTCAAGTGATCTGCTAGCCTCAGCCTCCCAAAATGCTGGGATTATAGGCGTGAGCCAAGGCGCCTGGCCAAGAAAAGAGGTTTGCCCATTTGTGCCTCATGTTCCATTATTGGAGTGCAAGCATGTGGTAGTTATTTATATCCTACTGCTCAAGGTCATCGCCAAGGTCTGATTGCAAAAATTCAAAAAACTGCAATCTCAGGCATAAATGGGTTAATGGCTCATGGTTCTGCAGGCTCTACAGAAAGTATGGGGCTGGCATCTGCTTCTGGTCAGGGCCTCAGGGAACTTAGGGAACTTATAATCACTGTGGAAGGTCAAGGGGAGCCAGTGCATTGTTTGGTGAGAGCAGGAACAAGAGAGCTGGGGGGAGATGTCACACAATTTTACACATCCAGATCTCATCACCAAGGGGACAGTGCAAAGCCATTCATGAGGGATCTGCCACCATGATCCAAACACCTCATAAGGCCCCACCTCCAACACTGGGGATTAGATTACAACATGAGATTTGGAGGGGATAAACATCCAAATTGTATCAGAGGGAAAACAAAAACAAAAACAAAAACAAACAAACAAACAAAAAACCTCTCAGCATGAATACTGGCAAACTATCCTGAATAGTCTTATCAATGAGTGTGAGAAACATGTGTGCATTATTTTTCACACAAATACACACAGGACAGAAATGTAAACACTCACCAGAAAACCTATCGAAAGAATCCACGTCATAAACTAAGATGAAAAATACAGTAACTCAACAGGAAAGCAAAAAGATACTTTTGGGAGATTTGCTGAGGCAAACAGAAGCGTTTTAGGGGAAGCAGATCTTGTACTCATTATTAAATGGAGGAACATGATCACTGAAAGAGAAAATGAAATATTAAATCAGACAAAATATTCTCAGATGAAATAGATGCTAAATGAATAGCTCACATGTGTAAAAGAGAGCAGGATGAAACAAGGGATTATTGTAAAAAAAAAAACTAAAAATAAAATATCTAAACACATATCGGCTTTAGAAATAAAGGAAGCAAAGTCAACACTACCTGAAATGAAGTCGATGATTAAGGAAATCTTGAGAAATTCTTCCAGAACACAGAACATAAAGACAAAAAGAAGAAAAGACAAGAGAGAAGACTAGAAGTGTGAAATAGAAAAGAATTAAATTCCATCCATGGCCAATTGGTAGTTTAGAAAAAGGGGTTAGATTAGATTGGAAAAAGGGATTCGACCAACTGGGATAAGAGCCAATAATCTTCCTTCTAAATTGACCAAGGGGAGTGGGGAAAAGAATAACATTTATTATCTGGAGAAATATACCAGTCTATAGATTGAAATATTTTATTTGTGACAAATATTAAAATTAATTTTTAAAATTATTAATACATATTAGTTTACTAGTTCAAATTAAAAACGTGGTTTACTTTCAAAAACAGTAACAAATTATACTGTCTTAAATATTCAAGACGGAAAATTGCACATTAAGGTCTCTGAAAAATTATGCTATAATTAGATGTTTTCCAAATTACTTGACTGTAAATTTCCTTTTTTTAAGTGACACCAATTAACATGTTTCAAAAGTAGTGTTTTATACTACACAGTTTGATAAACATAAACCAATCATATGTTGCAAACTTTGAGGGAAAAAAGTTACATTGAAATACCATTATGGAGTTTTACAACTACCTCCCCACACAAAAAAATTAAGATCCCTACCTGTATTAGTTTGCTACGGCTACCATAACAAAATACCATAGACTGGGTGGTTTAAATAACAGAAACTTATTTCCTTACAATTTGGAGGCTAGAAGTCTAAGATTAAGGTGTCAGCAGGGTTAGTTTCTTCTGAGGCCTCTCTCCTTGCCTTTTAGACAGCCACCTTCTTCGTGTGTTTTCACATGGTCTTTCCTCTGAGTGAGAAGATTTGTATCCTAATCTCCTTTTATGAGGATACCAGTCATACCGATTAGGGTCCACCCTTATGATCTTATTTTAACTTAATTACTTCTTAAAGACCCTATCTGCAAATACAGTCATATTCGTAGGTACTGGGAGTTTTGACTTCAACATATGAATTTGGGGAATATAGGGTCAGTGACACAATTCAGCCCCATAATACTACCAAAGGAAAAATAAAGTTTCTCAGACTTCCAGCCAACATTAACAGCCAGAAGACATAGAACATTTTATTCAGGGTTTTGTGGAGCAAAAAATATACTATATAAGCTAATAATTCTATACCCAATCATACTGTAGTTCATATAAGAAGACAAATCAAAGAAATTTTCAATAGTATAAAAATTCAGAAGATTTACTCCTATTGCAAGATATAAAATTCAGTAATTATAAAAATGTATTATAAAATAATGCATACAAAAATATAGCTGTGTTAAAAACAGGACTTGAGAAAGTAGATGGATAATATTAAAATAAACAATGATTATACCTTGAATCTGAACTTCCAAAAATAAGTAAAGGGATGAATGAGAATTAAATTTATCAACTTAATACTGTAACATTCATTTCAGTTATATCAATAGGTATGACTTAATCATGATGTTTATAACTAGTATGTGTATTTGTTCTTTTTCCTTAAAGGTAAACATTTGTAAAAATAAAAACAAGTGTATAACTTCCAAATCGTAAGAGAAAACAAAGAAAGCATAGTTCACTCAAATCAGCTGTTCTCAAACTTTTTTTTTCAGTTTTGATTTGAGTATGACAATTGTTTATATATATATATAACCCACATAAGCAAAAGCTCTTCTGAGATCTCAAAAGAGCACAAAAATTAAATTTAAAATTTAGTTTTGCAGGATGAATAAGTTCTTGTGATCTAATGCACAACATAGTGACTGTAATTAGTAATACTGTGTTGTATACTTAGAATTCGCTAAAAAAGTAGGTATTAAATATTCTCACCACACACATACACCCAAAAAACTATGCAAAGTGGTGAATATGTTAATTACCTTAACTGCAGTGAGCATTTTACATGTATACATATATCAAAACATCACCTTGTACACTTTAAATATGTAAAATTTTAATTTATCAATTATACCTCAAAAAGGCTGGGAAAATAAAAATGTATACATGCACCAGATTAAAAACATTGACAAGAACATTCCAAAGTCACTCCAGGACCAAGGCTCGTCATGACTAAAGTATCTGTGTGAGATGAATTATCTGGCAAAAGGCAAGAAGCCAGGGATTTCTGTTTGTTTTTATTTCATATTTCAATATAAGTGGGTAGATACTTACCAATATTTAACAACAGTCTAGGGCAAGAGGGAGTTCTGATTTATAACATTTGCCCGTTTCCTGTTTTTATGGTATATGAACTATAGACCATTTCAAGATATCCATGTGACGTCTTGGAATATAGTTTGGAAGAGACGTGCTTGATCAGTTCTCCCTAACCAATATGAGCTGGCTCCAGTACATCATTGACCATAAAGGAAGAAAAGTGATCAGAAGTAAAACTTTGACTGTGGTTGGTCCCAGCATTTAAATTAACATCAAAGCTATTTCTCTTGCAATATTGTATAGAAATTGTTGCTAACTGGACCACTTCAATTTTCACTTAAGACCTTAGAGCTGTCTCACATTAGAATAACTATTCAATCATAAGATCTCCTAGGCCACATCCTTCTGTGTTTTAGTGTAGCCCTGAACTACACCAGTTTCCCATTTTCAGTATACATAAAAGAAAGCATCGTTCTGAGATGTTTATTGAGATCCTTGTCTAAGTTATCAAGAAAACCACATTTATTGGTACTGCTTCTCTTCTTCAGGGCAGGTCAAGGAAAGATGCTCAAGGCTTCAGTTGATCTTTATTCAGATCTTCCTCCGACCTTTTCAAATATAGATGCCACACTTTTTCAGAAGGGCAGGTTTCTTATTCCTCTGCATTCCAGTACTATAGATCCTCGACAGTATGAGTGACCTGACTTTGCTGAAAGGTCAGAAGGAAGCATTGTTCTATGATTTCCCTATCACCGCTTTGAAAACTCAGTGTACTCAGTATGGATTCTCTACTAGTTTAAGTGAGCTTGAGATAATTCAGGTTACTTTTTGATATATTTTCTGATTGCCAAGAGCTATTTACTCAGAACTGACAGGTCAGGGGCTCCTGGATCCTTTGCAAACATAAGTATATATTTGAATCATCATGGGTTCCTAGCCTGGGCCACTGACAAAACAGTCTTCATAGGGCAGAGAACAATAGAGTTGCATGTTGTATTCTTGTCTCAAGTACCATTGTAGCATTTTGCATCTACTGAAATAAAATATCCAAAGGACTAAGCCAATACTTTACTATTAAATTTCACAGTGCCCTAGACATATATTTAGTTACGGATCAGACCAACTTAGCAAAGTGTAATTGGTTATCCACAAGTCTGGTTCTGATGTGAGGCACTGGCACTCCACATTCTTGAAATACAACATAGAATTGCCTGTTGAACTTTTCAAAGATCATGGGTGATTAGAAAAACCGTCCTCTACTGACATGTGGAGAAAGTGACAATGCAGGAAAGCATCAGCTCTTGATTAGAAAGGCATGATCCTCCCTTTCCTTCTCATTTTCATACTTTCACACCATCTTCCCATGTAACACAGCTTCAAAACGGTCACTCAGGGACTGGCTTCTAGATTTTTCTGTATTGAATTTGACAGTTGAGGCTTAATGATAAGTAACCTGCCTGCAGCAGAAATAACTTTATCTTGTGCAATATGGTAAGCCCTGGTGGTAGAAGGAGTGAGAGAGACAGTATTCATTAAATAACTTTATGTAAATATATTGCAGCATGGGTACCACAATAACACACCACACTTACAATGCTGCAGCATCTAACACTCACTCCAGCTAGTCCCACTTTTTTTTTAATCCATAAGAAATGCTACCTAACAAACTAGAAAGAGAAGATAAAATGTTTTTAAAAATCTGAATGCATTCGTGTCAATTTACCATCCTCTAAAAGCTGACCCTGAGACAAGGATTCAGGTGCAAGTGAATTGGGAGGTGATCCCAGGAAGCAGAGTGAAAGAATAAAGAAGTGAGAAAGAAAGGAAAGAGGGCCATAAAGAGGGTGTGTTAATGGGTAGGTTATCACTGTAGGCAACAGGACTTCAATCCTCCTGGGAATCTTCAGAGACACAATGGAAGCACACCTCCTAGGTAGAAGATTGCTGGGATACTTAGCCACCTCCCTTCTCCCTTTGGCTGATGGTGGCTCTTGTACACTTTAAAAACGAGACACTTTGGGCCTGCCCTGTACTCCAAGTGAACATGAGCTCAGGCAGAAAGAGACACTGTTGCTTAAGGTAGGAAGACATTGATGTATGCAATAACTGTGCATCAAAGCTGCAGGCAAACCCTGGGCTGAAGTAATCTGACGGAAACTGACAGTATCTACTACAACACACCTCCTTCAAGCATGGCTGAGATGCAGCAGCCAGAAATGAAAAAACAAGAAATAAGGCATTAAAAAACAAGAACCATGTGCAGAAAGGAGATGGTGGCAGATACTGAGTAATCCATAGAAACCCACTCTGCCCTCTTTTCCCTCTTGTTGCTCCTCTCTTTTCAGAAAATGTCCTGAACTCACACTGACTGCCCATAGACCTGCAGTCACACAGGCCCACAAGTACTACTAGCTTCTCCATTCCCCAGTCCGAGTCTTCCTCTCTTCTTATCAAAATTAAACTGACCTGCCCTTTTGTCCATTTTCTCAATACTTTCTACTTTCAAAAGTAACCTACTATTGCCAGCTAAACTCTTGTGTATCATAAGTTTGTTGATTAATATGTTATCTCACCCAAGGATATTTATAATTTGTCAGTAGACCAATGGCTATTTTATGAATTAAGGTATAATTAATGGTATACTTCTAGATAAAATGGTGGGTTGGTGGTAGAAGAATTCGGAGAGATAAGGACATTCTTAATTACCGATGATATCTGTTCCCCTAAAAGGTGAGAAATATGCCCCCATTTGGAAGTTCACATTGACTAATATTATTTTGAAATCACTGAGGAGTTCAGCTTTAATTATCCCTATTTATTATTTAACTTAGTTGTCCCCAACATATTTTACAAAAGAACTATTTAAACAATGTTGAACCTATTTTATTATCTTTAAATATAATATTTGACATTTTCAAACAAGTACATGCTGCAAATTTACATATATAACATATATAAATACAATAATATATTGTATACATCATATATGTATACAAAAATAATAAATATATATGTATATATAGAATAATAAATAAAATACCTGTGAACCTACTGCACAACCCATGAATGACAAATTTACCAATAACTTTGCATGCAGCTATATGCTCTTCCCTATACCCCTCCCTACCTCTCCCCCAGAAGTAAATAACTCCATCCTGAATTTTTCCTGTATCATTACTTTGCTTTTTAAAAAATGGCTTTTATCACAGACGACTGGTGAATAAACAATACACTGGCTAATTTTGTTTGTTTTTGAGATTCATGAAAACATTATATGTGGTATTATGGGACTTGTGACTTTATAAATTTTATTTTTCAATGTTATATTCTTAAGAGTAATTTTTATGTTTAGATGTAACATGTAGCTGCAGAGCATTTCTTTTCACTGCTGTGTAAAATTCCATTATAAATATATTTTAATTTATTTATTTAGTCTCCTATTTACTTACATTTGTATCATTTCCTCATTTTGATATTAAGAATAATATTCATATAAAATATTCTTGTATCTGTTTTTTGGTGTACCTGTGCAAGAATATGTACCTAAATATGCAGGTGATGATGTATGTACTGAGATATAACAAAATATGAAAATGTTCAACTTTACAAAATCATCACCATTCTTTGCAGAAGGTGGTGGAAATGAGCCAGACTGGCTGTCCTTTATGCAGCATGCTAAGTTCCACCAGAACGCAGGAGTCAGATTTTGGCATTATAAGCAACCTCCAAAAACAGAAGAAAGTAACCACCTAAAGCAAAGTCAGTGTTCAAGCTCATTCATATTCAGGTATTCTGCAAGGAAACAAACAACAAACAAACAAACAGGTATTAAATAAAGCAAAACAGAAATCAACAGGAAAATATTATTTTTCCTTTCAAAAGGATACCCTTCAGGAAAAGATAGACAAATGTGCTACACTTCCACAAACTCTCCTGGGATTCTTCCATGTCCCTTTCTGCCAGCTTTTGGGTGATTTGGAGTTCAGCAAATGCACAAATAGGTCATGTGCAACCTTTAAATAGCTGAAGACAGCTAGATGTGCCAGCCCTGTTGGAGATATCATTGGAAAGCCTGCCACAGTTGACAAATAATAGAGATTTTTTGGGGGGACAACAGTGGGTTCTATGGATGTCAGAATTTTCTGGGGGGACAACCTCGTCTTCAGTAGTGGTTCTACTGCCGTGGTGGGTTTAAGTATGAATCCAGTAGGTTATAGAAGAGACAGCTGCCTGTGCTTAATTGACTACTTCAGTCCCAATGTTTTCCTTGAGATGTAATAATTTCAAATAGGCATATATTCATATAACAAGTATACTGGGTATGTGATTAACTTGTATCATTTCATAAAATTTGTTCCATATTGTTGTTGCTTTGCCAGTATAGCTTAAGTGGTCCACTGTCCTGAACAAATATCTAAGCCATTTATGTGCCCTATTAATTTGCACAAAAGCATCTATTTTTTATCAATATTGGGATGATGCTCTATGGCCAGGACAACTACCTGAAATTAGCCTACTGTGAAAAACGTCGACTGCTGTAAGATATCAGTAGTTTATTATATGTATGGCATATGGCATTCCTTGAGATTTTCCCATGTCGAAGAGACACTCTTTCAGTCATAGCAAGTCTTATAGGCTCCCAGTAAGCCAGAAGGTGGGAAAGGAGTAAGGGAGGTTATCTATGGGAATAAGGGTCTGTGCATATAATTTGCTAAGATATTAGTGATGCTTTATTTTTCTATTACACAATGCAAAATTTGGGAGGCTTATCTCATCTAATGGATGTTTAGTGCAAAGAGCACCCACTATGGAAAGAGACTGTCAGGTCACTATGGAAAGAGACTGTCAGGTCAGAGTCAGATAAGCGAGGTTGCTGATCAGCCCAGATGCCAAGGATAACTAATACAGTCTAATTGCCAAAGGCTTCTGTAACTTGTGAGATTGCTGTAAGCCACCTATAATTTCATGGGGTACAGAAGGAGAGAAGGAGCTCCAATGCAGGGGCTGCTTTATTTTTACCTAAACTTCTTCCAGGGTTTCTTCTTGTAGGGATCTCCTCTCAAATTTGACAGCTTATTTGGTGATTTGGTATAGGAGCTTTACATTCTTAGTTGTGGAGCATACTGTTTCTAAATCCACAGACGTCCATCTAAGGTTGAGCTTTATTCTAAGTTCATATATATATATATATATATATATATATATATATATATATATATCTGCTGTTTTATCTGCTGTTTAAAGTTTTTCATTTTCTAGGTATAATCTTTTTGTTTGTTTGTTTGTTTTGGAATCTATCACTTTAAGTCCTGATAGGTCTTGTTTCATGCTCATCTTTGTTAGCGCATTTTTTTGTTTCTTTAATCATTTCATATGTAATTATATAAGTTCCCTGATAATTCCAATATTAGTATTCCTTAGTGTCTAAAACTTTTGTTTATTTTTTTAAACCATTTCATATTATAGTTGGCCTCCTTATGTGCTTGATGATCTTCATTAGTAAGCGTATTACTCAATGTTTATCTGCCCTGTGGGCCTAAATTTTAAGAACTTTCCTCCAAAAAGTATTTTCTTTTGTGGGTGACTGGGAGAGATACCCATTTGGAATCACTTCAGTTCTCTCCATATTTTGCAAGGGAATACATGCCCCAACTTCTTCACTGCACCAGAGGAGACCCACTGTCTTAATAGCAATGTCCATCTTTATAGCCTCAGCTCCAATCCATCAATATGGTTCCAGATCACTGTTAGTGTGTACATGTGTATGAGAGGGCCAGGGAGGTCCTGAAAACATTCTCCACATCTTAAAAATCTAGCCATATGTCCTAGAATACCTTACGCGTAATATAGTTGCTTTACAGTGGAAGAATCCATTAGAGCATTCGGTTGGCCAGGTGCAGAGGCCCATGCCTGTAATCACAGCACTTTGGGAGGCCAAGGTGGGCAGGTCACTTGAGCCAGGAGTTCGAGACCAGCCTAGCCAACATGGTGAAACCCCGTCTCTACTAAAAATACAAAAATTAGCCAGGCGTGGTGGCTCACATCTGTAATCCCAGCTATTCGGGAGGCTGAGACAGAAGAATCACTTGATCCCAGGAGGCAGAGGTTGCAGTGAACCGAGATTGCACTACTGCACTCCAGCCTGCGCTACAGATTAAGATTCCATCAAAAAAAAAAAAAAAAAGGCCATTCAATTAGCCAGAACAGAAACTGTTCAGTAGTAGCATAATTAATATACATTGGTATGTTTGGAATATTTGTGATTCAAGGTACAGAACTTGGGAACTAACAAAATGTCCAAAACCCTAGATTTCAGAAGACTTAGGTTTAATCCTTTTAACCACTCTCTATTATGATTTAATGTGTTACTCTATATTAATTCCTCTATTAAGTAAATATCTATGCATATATGTTATCTCAGGCTCAATATTCTCTTCTAACAACCTGTTTTATCTTGAGTAAATAGCAACTAGAAAAAGTAACATGTTTGAGTTTCAAACTTAAACAATTTTTTTTTCTGATGATTTAGAATAAAGTGACCACAAGTGAGTAGTTGAAGGGACAAAATGACTAATAGCTTGGAAAATCTATAAAGTAAATAGAGAGTTTTCTGTCTTTTTTTTGATGAATCTGATATGTTATTAACCATTTAAGATTTCTTAAATGACTTTAAAAACAGCTATCTCCTCTTCTACCAGGTGTCTTCCTTGATTTACATATGACTAACTCAGAAAATACATAGAGATATTTTATGTTCACTATATAACTGATGCAGAGTTGTGAATAAGCCAGGAATATACACTCTCTTTTCTGGAAGAAAATGTATGAATTTCCTCTTTTGATCAATTCTAATGCTTTATTTTTGAGTCACTGTGTTTATTTAAAATTACTTATACATTGAATTAGTATGTAACTCAATGATTTTTCTCAACCTTTGAGAATATTGTGATTTTGAAGATATCTAATTGAAGGCAACATTGTAATTTGAATTCTGCAATCCAGACTTTTCTAAGAAATATATAGTCACAGGAAAGAATCTACAGGTTTAGCTGTAAAAATTGTAAATTTTTTCCTTAAATTTTTTTGGTTGGCATTTAACTCTGTATATCTGATGTTTATTTGTATGAACATATAACTAACTTCTTTATATTTAAATGACCATATAAATATGCTGCAACTATAGATAGATATTGTTTCAAGTTTTAGTTATTAAAATCATACCAAAATGAATACTGGAAAATATATCCTTGCTCACTTAGACAAACTATCCATAAAAAAATTCTTAAAAGCAAAACACTGGATTAAAGGGTAAATTAAGATCTTTTCAAAGAAATTGCACAGATTACCTTCTCCCTTATAGTTTCTGGGATTGCCTCCTTCCTATATCTTTGCCCACACTGTTACCAAATTCAGTTTTTGCCATTCTAGTGGTTGTGAGATGTGATGACAATTTTGTTCTTCTATTCTATGTTCCTCACCCATTCCTTATCTCTGTCCTCTACTTTGAAAACTTATGCTGAATTTTGGATCTTCTGGATAAAACCTCCAAATCTTTTAACATTTATCTCATATTTTTTTATTTGACTTTTGCTCCAACTCTAAAGCATTTCTTTAAGTTTCTTACTCAAATCACTTTTTTTAGAAATTTTTTTCATTAGGTTGGTTATTCAGTAGTTTGTTGATTTTTCTTTTTTCATTTTGCAATCATATTTTAAATTCTCAGAGACTAATTTTGTCCCCTGATTAACACTTTTATTATAGCAGCTTGTGGAACACTTTCTCAAATCTAAGGATACGAATTCCCAGTAATACCTCTATTTGTTGTTAGTGATCCTTCCCTTTCAAGCTAAATGTCTGCTGATGCATAGTTGTAGATTCATATTTGTAGATGAAGAACCAGGTTGATTAGTATAATTAGCTGGCATTCATTCCCCCAAAGATGAGCAGTCAGTTCTCTAAAACACCTGTTCCTTTGAATGGAAGTTGGGAGCAGGGAAGGGAGGAGGAGGCATGCTGGCTGTAATGTCTGTGTTATTGTACAAACTGGGCCAGTCAGTAGGCTTTGCTTGGGATTTATGAGAGTTGGGCGGGTTAGCAGGTGGGGATCCATCCCAAAGCCAACATTTGGTAAGGTTTCCCATGTAGGTGGAGGTGCTTTTGCTTCTTGGACAGATAGATGCTCCCTCTTCTCCCCTCCCAATTCTTCATGGAGGTAGTAAGGATCTAAGTGAAACTGTCCACTTTCTTTCCCCACTCTAATCACCTCCTCTAATAAGGAGGTCTCCCTTCTCAGCTCATTTTGATTTTTTTACTTATTAGTTTTAGTTTTTACAAGAGTGCTTATGAAAGTGGACCTTCTCCTGAATATTAACCTATAAGGAGGGGATGGGATCAAAGGATCTTGCTGGTCCCATGCCCTGATGGCTGCCCCATTGCCCACTAATGTTCTTTTTTTTTCCTCTGGAAAAAAAAAAAAACCACAACAATTTAAACTATTTTACTGAGGTATAATTCACATGCCATAAAAATCTTTCGCTGACTCTAGGTTTAGCATTTCTCCTAGACTCTTGAGAAGTCCATACCCATCCTTGGGGTTTTGAACAGTACCATTTCTTCTTATTTTCCCCCCTCATTTACAATCTATCTTCCAAGCTTTTCTTAAACTTTCTGGCCCATAGCTGCCTTCTTTTTTATTTCCTATGTGCATCCTAGTTTCATTCCCTAAAAAAGTTCATGTTGTGTTATGTTATTTTAATGGAAACTTTGGAGGAAAGGAAGGTATAGCCATGGGCTTTTATCTATTTCCTTCCCAGTTTCATGTTTTTACAACATAAGGTAACTTATTATTGCATCTTTGACATGTATATTTTACAACTAGGGGACATAGACCACATATCCACTGAAAATATAATTGGTTGATGAAGAAGACTACAAGAATTTGCCTGCTCCCCTATTTTGGACAGAAAATGAGAAGTCTCTGAAGAGATGATACTTACAGAATAATTTGTTAAAAGATACTTACGGAATAATTTGTTAAAAGTAACACGTGTTGTTATCACACAAGAACCCTATACAGAAAGCACCAATAATTATATGATATTTTGACTCTAGAAAGCACACAAAAAAACTTACTTGATTGATTTAGATATGACTTAGATATATATATAAATAATATATATATAATATATAAATAATATATATAATATATATTAATATATTTATATATAATATATATATAAATAATAGATATATATATAAAAGCTGGTGTGTGTGTGTGTGTGTATGCTGGTGTATGTGTGTGTATACATATATATGCAGTTGTATTTCAATACAAACATGGTTTTAGGTTCTATTACAATATATATTTATGGTCTCGCTATTCCATGGCTTTCTATACTTCTCATGTAATACATTCTGTGGCAGTCTCACATTAAACCATCTACCAGAAGGATTGACATTAGTTATGGGATAGAGTAGTTGCAGCTCTTTAGACATATAACTACTGTGCCATTTTGATGTAATTCTGTATAAATTTCAAACATTTCTATTTAACATAATCAAGTGGTATGAAATCTTCTTTTTAAATGGCAAGTATACAGTACTAGCTCAATTGGCACTTAGCAACGGTCCTTTTACAATATGCACAATAGCTTCCAGCAGGGAGTTTTTTAAGGACCATCCTTTGAGAGCACAAACTCACACATGTACAATCAGTAGACATCAAGGTTCTATCTCCAGCGCCCCTTGAGATGTTATTTAGCTAATGTACAAATGTTACAGCTAAGCTGTTAAGCCTGAAAAATAGAACACACAGCTGTATGCAGGTACACTCATTTTTCATTCTCTTGGCTAATATCTTCATATTCTAATTCTACATAAAATAATATCTGGAATTATTTGGGATAATTTTTAGAGCATAAGCATTTTTATCTTTTCAATATGCTAGGAGCATTTGTGAGTATAATTTTTCATAGTAGCAGAGCACTGTGAAGTGGATATGAACTGAAAGAAGTTGCTTGATTATATAATACTCAGTTTTTCTGTCAGATTATAATTATGCCATAGGCTGCTGACACTTTTCATTGTAACAAAGGACATACAATTCAGTATTATTTGACTCTACAGCACACCCCTGGGAGATGGGGACCGGGTCTTATTCACTGCAGCATCTCAGTGCACTTGGTGCCTGCCACATAGCTGATACTCAATAATTATTGGAATGCATAAATTAATAAATGAACGTGGAAAATAAATTTAAAATAAACCAGGTATTATTTTATATATTATATACAAAAGCTAAATTGATTGACACTATGCTTTTTATATTAAGAAAAAAAGACATTATACATTTTTCAGAGCACACACTACCGTATTTCTATCATATTTCTATTTTCTCCACTTACATAATAAATCAGTATTAGATATATCTAGAACATTAAGGTTACAGTAGGCCCAACTGAAAATTTCTAACAGGATTTCATTATCACATTTTTTTATCCTGTTCGAAGTTTATTCTGATGCAGCTTTCAAAACATGAACAGAATAATTAGCAGAGTGCTGTGCTGAAAATGTACCCAAAAGGATCACTGTTTTCAATCTCATTTCAATCCAGACTCCTCTTCACTGTGCCCCATCTCTTAGCCTATGCTGACAACTACTTGCCATTTCCATCTCCATGAGTTTACTTCATGGTACCACTGAGGTTATACGAAAGAAAGAAGGGAACACAGGGTGTCCTTGACGGTCCAAACCCACCTTTCCCCACTGTAGTTTGCACCTGTTAATTGACAAGCCTTGCATTGTGTAAGCTGATGTATGAGGTTGCTGTTTTCTCTTTATCACAGTTGTGTGTTTTTGAGTAATCGTGGAATCCTGAAGTGAGAAGATGAAGTTATTAAGTTGGAACAGCAACATCATACTTCTTTCTTTTGTTATGTTTTTCAAATTCCATTATCAAATTTTGTTATAAAAATCTCTTGATTTGAATGTCTCTAGACAAATGTTAGTGTCTCTTTTTCTCCTTTGACTTCTTCATCCTGTCCTGACCATAGTCTATAATGTCATGGTGACATTAATTTGTGGCAGGTGGGAATTTAGAAAATGGTTAATCAACCTCCTCCCATTTGACTGACTCAAAACTGAAGTTAAAGTTTGTGTCTAGTTTAGATTACAATAATGGTAGCAGATCTTTTGGCTTCAGGCCACTGTTTACACTTTCTTCCAAAATTGCTACAGAAAATATAGTACAGTCGACCCTCAGTATTCATGGGGGATTGGTTCTAGCACCTCCCTCAGATACCAAATGCCATGGATGCTCAAGTCCTTGATATAAAATAGTGCAATATTTGCATGTAACCTACCCACATCCTCTGGTATACTTTAAATTATTTCTAGATTGCTTATAATACCTAATGTAATGTAAATGTTATGTAAATGGCTGTAACGAGGTTTTGTTTAGGAAATCATAACAAGGAAAGAGGTCTGTAGATGTTCAGTACAAACGCGATTATTATTATTATTATTATTTTGAGACGGAGTCTCGCTCTGTCGCCCAGGCTGGAGTGCAGTGGCGCAATCTCGGCTCACTACAAGCTCCGCCTCCCGGGTTCACGCCATTCTCTTGCCTCAGCCTCCCGAGTAGCTGGGACTACAGGGGCCCACCACCACGCCCGGCTAATTTTTGGTATTTTTACTAGAGACAGGGTTTCACTGTGTTACCAGGATGGTCTCGATCTCCTGACCTCATGATCCGCCTGCCTCGGCCTCCCAAAGTGCTGGACTTACAGGCGTGAACCACCGCGCCCCTCCAAAGGCAATTTTTTAAAAAGTATTTTCCATCCCTCATTGGTTGAATTCATGAATGTGATACCTATGGATATGGAGGGCTGACCATATTCATTTAATTCAACTCGGAGATTCATTAAACTTAACAGTTCATAAATGAGTGGACTCTTGTTATGAAGTCAAACCAAGCTTTGTTACAGAAATAAAAAAGAAAATTTGAGAGGCCTTGTATTGGTTGTAATCCACTTGTTAAAACATATTGTACTTATGTTTAATCCCAGATACATCAGATAATTTTTCCTTGTTCTTGCTACATTTATTCAAAGGTGAGAACATTTAGGCAAGACAAAAAAAGGGTACTCAGAAAATGTGGCTATTTTAATTGCCTCTGCCTTTGCAAAGCCATCTTTCCTTTTCTACATTGGTATTACCGTTAATTTGAATCATCTTATAAATAAAGAGGAATAATAGAAGATCACCGTTAGCACAATTGTCCACGAAATGACACAAGTACAAACCATATAGTTAACCATGAGAAGGCACTTAGGATTCTGTGTCTCCTTATACAGCCTCCTTTTCAGCCTCTCTGCTAACAGCCTTCGAGTGCACTTACTGGTCGGGACAATACAAGATGGGCATTATGTCCCTCTGTCTGCTGAGTTATTTAACAGTGATCCGAAAACTCTCAAGTAAGATTAATACTGTGTAAGTTTAATGGAAACTGGCAATCTGCCACCAAAGGCTTTTGCAAAATCCAAATTAAGGCAATTCAAAAGACTAAACTGCAATGGGATAAAGTCAGGAAACTTAGGCTATCATTTGAACTCTGCTTTCTTTTCTACAATTTGCAGGTGATAGCTGGCTTTAAAATTTTACTACAAAACATGAAACTTAGCAAGACCATGGAAATATTACTCGTATGTTTATAAAAGAGGATAGAAGGGATTTTTGTCTGGAAACTATTGCTCTCCATATTTGTAATTTTCATTTGCATGCAACAATATTTTGTATTCACAACATATTGTTCACAGAATTAAGAAATCCCTTAAAATTATTTATAGAAATAAAAAGTTCCTCCTTTAGATTAAAACCTTTAAAATGTTATTTTCAAATATATGTTTCTGAGCAATGAGGAATGTTAACTAAGCACACTTACTCCTTTCACTCTAAAATTTAGTTTTTAGAATAACTAGAGCTGGTTAGAACTAATTGTTTAAACTGGTCAAAGCTAAATTATTGGCTACCTCACAATTTGAAAAGCCGTAACCAATTTAAACCATTAAAATCATCTGTGGAGACATATAGTAAGCCAAGTTTTAGGTGGAAATGATCCAAAGTCCCTGAGATATTAAATTTACAAGCCCACTCTCTCACCTTTACAATTCTAAATTACAACATTATGACCCTGATGCAATATATATTTTAAGAAAGTTTTGTGGTACAGTACCATATATAATTATTTCATTCCTAGGCAAAAAAACCCATCATTCAAAGGGGATAAAGCTTTAAAAAAGTTATAAAGTCTATTTCTTAAGAAAAATATGTCATTTACATCACTAAGTTCTACTATACAGTTGTGTCCTATCAAATTTTGGGATCCCTGCCTAATATAATATTAATTTTTCAAAATTGTTTCTCTCTTTGAGATACAAGCCTGAGAGCAAGTCATTTTTTAATGGCAAATAAATAAATAATTCCAAAATGAAAAATCATCAAACTGAAAATGATCTTCTACAATGATTTTCAGTCTTATCAAGTATTTGATAATCTAAACTTAAATATCATTGTTCTAAGGTTTCGGCCCTAGCAGCTTATACAATTGTTTTCACTGCCAATTTAAACTTACTTTTTAAATGAGTAATTTAAGCCAGAAAAGTTAAATATTATTTGGCTTTGCTTTTGAGTTGGAAATAGAGTTTGAGTTGGCTCAGTGATAAGTTAAAACAAAAAATCTGCTTCTACTGAATCACATGTAGATCTACTTAAGCTCTTCTTGCATCTTCCCATAAACCACCGAAAAGCAAATAAGCAAAAGTAGTATGTGCACAAAATAAATGCATTTCCTAAGTAAGGTTTTTTTTGACAAAACTCCCCCATGTCTTTTGTTTATAATTACCTCCTAGAAGAAACACTTTTCTTTGTGTGTGAACTTGGAATTTCATAAAATATTGAAAGAACATTCTATACCATAGCATGCTATGATTTATTTAATTCATCATTATGCCTGTGCCCTTACAGGAAGATCATTTCTTCTGTTTACACTGTATTATGATTTGTTGGTTCCATTTGAATCTATGACAACACACACACACACACACACACACACACACACACACGATAGAGAGAGAACATTCACTACTGTTAAAGTTTTTAGAATTGAATTTTGAGTAAAACAAATATACTGTAATATCTACTTTTTAAATATGATTGAAGAAGGCAAATGACTGAAATAATATGTATTCATAGTGATTTTTTGTATTATCTTTTCCGATGAAATGAAACAATCTGCCTGTATACTTAAGGTGGACTCTCTTGTGGCACCATAAAAAGTCTTCACTCTCTATCTTTTCCAGGTACCAGAGCAATTATCAAATTTTTCTGACCTCAAAAACATGTTCCATTTCAGGAAGGCAATTACTTAGGAATGAACCAGTAAGGGAATCCTTTTTGAGAAAAAAAAATGGTCCCAGTTAAGAAGTTCCTAATAATTTCAAAGTAGAAATAGTTCAACTCAGCAAAGTTGACTATAAAGTCCTATACTGTAAGTAAATACAATTTTCTTAGACCAAAATAACCCAAAACCTATATTATTTGTAAGAGAATCCCAAATTAGTGAAAAGCAGCTCAAAGTTAAATTTCCAAGGTCATGTGTCTCACTTTTATTAGTGGTTAGGCTGGCTCTCAGAAGATATATTTTCCCTGTTCTTCTTTTGGCCTAAGTATGAACAAAAGCTCTTTGGCTTGGTACAATTTACCATAGGCAATGTTGGAACTTAGACAATACTTTGAAGATTTAAAAACTTTATTAAATAATTTGGGATATCAAAAGAAAAACATACACAAAATTACCAGAAATACACAAATGCTTGAGTGAAAAATGTAATATAACTGAATATATATGTTTTATTATCACAGGCCTTTATCTCAAAGAGTTCACAGTCTAGCTAAGTAATGTGCATATTAAGAAGTAAGCATGAGAGAATGTGATACTTGCAATATTAATTGTGCAAGAAACACTTGAATTATTAGAGAAGGCTTCAAGAGAGGCTAAAGGATAGTGGTTACTCTCAATGATGTATTAGGTCTAGCACACTCCAATTATCAAGAGCTAATTGTGTACCTCTCGTCTCAAGTCTCAGTGTTTAGGAAGGCCATATTGGTTGCTTGAAATTGGCTTTGGTGGGAGTATTTATACCACCAAAATTGGCAAATACTACAAATCAGGGTTTTTTTGTTTGTTTGTTTTTGGACAACCACTAAACATCTACCTACCTGCATACTACTGGTTACTCACCAGTGGAACAAAGAAAGGGGATCCAGGCAGAGACAGCATGTGAAAGGTGGTCATTCATGATATAGTACAGTTTCAGTGAACTTCAAATCGACCTCCTGCTAGAACATAGTGTATGAGAAGAGAGAGACAATATGTACATCAGAACAAATATGCAGGAATTTGACAATGGTGGAGACTAGTGAAGAATGTCAGAGAACTTGGGTCTTATCCAACAGATCAATGTTTCATGTAGTGTGGTCCTTCAATCACTCACATTAGAACCACCTGAAAATTTAAGATTTTTGAGTCCTTTTTGAAACCTACTGAATAAGAATCTCCTGGAAGTAGACTCATTAATATGTATTTTAAAGACATGTCCCAGATATCTTAATACTAACTCAAGTTTGAGAAATGCATCAAATGTTTTTAGGTAGGTGAAAATATCAGCTTTTAAATCTTATCACAGTAAGCTTGCCCCTAACCCATTCCCGAGAGGAAACTCAGGATGAAAGAGATGCTGCCTTTGGGAAAACCCTTTGCATCAGGGTTTGTTCACCTCAGCACTACTGGCTGAAGACTAGTGGTTGAAGACACTATTGACATTTGGAGCTAGATAGTTCTTTGTTGCGAGGATGTGTTCTGTACATTGCAGAACGTCCACCAGGACCCCCGGTCTCTGTGCACTAGATACTAGTAGCAACTTCCCCAATTATTACAATAAAAAATGTCACCAGATATTGTCAAATGTCCCCTGGAAGGCAAAGGTGCCTTTGTTTGTACCATTGCTCTCTATCTTTGGCTATTCCTTCAGTCAGCCTTACTGAAGGGACTGATAATGGGGATGACCTCACTCCACAGTTGAAACTCAATTTCCAACCTCCAAGGTTGACTGTACCATAGTAGAACTTGCAGGAAAACCATATGTTAATATTCTACAGTGATCATATAATTTACATAGCAGGTATTCCAGTATATTTACTTAGTAATGGGGTTGCATTTTCTTGAAAATAATATTAAATGAGACAATATGTGCTGTGACTATTACTTAAAGTCCTCCCACCTTTCTCAACTCCCTCCCCACACCCTAAACCACCACCCCACACTCCGTGCTGTATTTAAAGTTCTTTCCATTAAAATTACTTTTCTAAGGTTACGACCTCTCTGTGGAAATACTCTATTAAAATGCAAAAGCTGGACACCATTCACAAATATTATATTTTTAGCTGTAAATATATAAATATTTAAGTAAATATTTACTAATAGGAATATTCTCATCTAGACAGGCAGCTCCTTGATGAAAGGAATGATTTCTCCTTTATCTTTGTACCCATAGCACTTATCATATATATCATCTGTTGCTTAGGAGATTTTTAAAAAATATTTAAATCAATAAAAGAAACTATCTTCCAAAGAATAGTTGTATAGGACATAGGATTAGAACAAGTTTATTTTTTATTTTTTTAATACTTTAAGTTCTGCAATACATGTGCAGAATGTGCAGGTTTGTTACATAGCTATACATGTGCCATGGTGGCTTGCTCTACCCATCAACCTGTCATCTACATTAGGTATTTTTCCTAATGCTATCTCTCCCCTGGCCCCTCACCCCCCAACAGAACACAGTGTGTGATGTTCCCCTCCCTGTGTCCATGTGTTCTCATTGTTCAACTCCCACTTATGAGTGAGAACATGCGGTGTTTGGTTTTCTGTTCCTGTGTTAGTTTGCTGAGAATGATGGTTTCCAGCTTCATTCATGTCCCTGCAATAGACATGAATTCATCTTTTTGATGGCTGCATAGTATTCCACGGTGTATATGTGCCACATTTTCTTTATCCAGTCTATCATTGATGGGCATTTTGGTTGGTTCCAAGTCTTTGCTATTGTGAACAGTGCTGCAATAAACATATGTGTGCATGTATGTTTATAGTAGAATGATTTATAATCCTTTGGGTATATATCCAGTAATGGGATTGCAGGGTCAAATGGTATTTCTGGTTCTAGATCCTTGAGGAATCACCAAAAGCAATAAGCAAGAGGGATCAAATAACTATGGCCAGCCCTTTAGAAATCTTTGATAAGCATTTTTTTCCATTCTATCTCACTTTGTCCTTCTGATGCCCTTATTCGTCTTCTCTTCTTACTTACTCCCCAGATCCAAAAAGCATGTTTTGCCCTCCAATTTTCTCTACTTCTTGCTCTTGCATTAAAAAATAAACTTGTTAAAGATCGTCATCACTGGTCATTAACAATTTTATTTTTAATGCAAGAGCAGGGAGTAGAGAAAATTGTGGGGCAAAGCATGCTTTTTGGATCTAGGGAGTAGGGAAGAAGAGAATCCAAATAAGGGCATCCGAAGGAAGAAGTGAGATAGAAGGGGAAAAATTGCTTATCAAAGATTTCTAAAGGGCTGGCCATGGTTGTTTGATCCCTCTTGCTTATTGCTTTTTTTTCCACAACACATTTTATTTGGTGATATGGACTACTGGATAATAAATGAGACAACTTAAGGCAATGCCTCAAAATCTCTGCATTTTTCTGGTATAGTAACTTCCTTTTCATAGCTGATAAACTTCCAAATTTAAGCAAGTTCTGAATTTTTATAGATGGTGACTCACTGCTTGCTAGGATGGTGGCTTACTTGGTAGACTGTAATATTCGCCAGTGTGAATATTCCAGAGAATGCTCTTTGACAGTGCAAAGATTGTATTTCACAATATCTTGCTGGCATTTTACATATTGATTTAATGTCTCAAGTAGCTCTGAAGAAGATGTTTGGTATTTAGTAATTGATATTTCTAGTGGCAAAAAATTTAATCATATAGCTATAGCTTCAGATATTCTTCTGCAAATGTTTCCTAATGAAAGTTATACAGCTCATAATGTGTATTCTGGTAAGTATTGACATCTAAAATTTTAGCAATCATAAACTGACTTTCATCGGATCATGGTTCATTTGCATTTGTTTGCCAAACTGTTGTGCCTCATAGGAAATTTGAGTATTGAAGAATACCTGTCAACTATCCTGATTACTCATTGGTTAAAATGCCATTGCCTAGTTTTAGTTGTCAATCCTCACAACTTACAGCTGTCATTTCTTGCTTTTAGAAAAAAATCAGATTGGCATTTTTTAAAGCATTCTCCGAAGGATGCTGTACATTGCAAAACCACATATACATAGTGAATGTACTCTTTTTATCTAGTTATGGCTTATACATGCAATACTCAAAATTATGGCAGATAAAAAAATCTTTCTCTCATACACACACACACACACACACAGATGCAACACACACAACTGTAAGAGATGACTTAAGGATGAAAAAGAAGATTTTTGTTGTTGTTGTTATTTGTTTGTTTTAATCAGGATGCTAAAAAGACCTCTTGACCAAGAATATTCCCTTTGTAGAACCTATAGTGCTTGAACTTCCATCATAGGCATGATCCTTTGAAATTTGCTTGTTGTCATCTAAACAAGTGCAACTACAATTAATTCTTGAATGAGGTAGTCTGTTAAATCCCTAATACTAAATTGACTTAAGGATAAACCGTTTACTAACAGTAGGTTCTGAAGAAAGGAGAAAGAAAAATGCCAAAGGGTAGGCAAGGTAGATAGAATGGTCAAAGAGCACTATCTACTCCATAATTTTGCCTGGGCCTGGGCATCATTGGTGACATAATCAAGCTGAGATGCTAGATGTGAATTGAAAGTTATATAAAAGGTATGATATGTCCATTATTTCTACCCCACCTGACATGGACATAGGTGCAATCATAACATTGTATAAAATCCGATATCAAACATTAATGTTCATAAAATCTTTCTTGAGAATCAAGATAATTAGGAACAAAATTTAATTTTCTTTGGCTATGTGACATCAATAAGAGATGCTAATTAGAACATCTCTACTGGTCTCTATTTTTAAAAGGAAAATAGTAAACTGTTCTGTTGCATAATAAGGAAATGTATTAAATACAAATAGAAAATATAATAATTTACTCTGCTGCCCTCATTTCTTTGAGTGTATGGTTATTATTATTACAAAGGATGATCTTATGTGAATTGAATGAAAAGCAGAAAAAAAGTGAACATTGATTAGCAAACATAGTGTAATTTTTCCAGCCTTATTGTTTAATTATTGATTATTGGTATGATCATTTAGTATATATTTGTGAATTGACAGTATTTACAAAAGAAATGGCTAAATACTTCTGAAGGAGTCATCTGTTTCCATTTAGATTCTGAAAAGAGAAGGATAAAAATAACATATACAAAGAGAAAACTTTCAACTTAGCTACTTGACTGTCATACCCAATCTTACCACATCCAATATTCGAAAAGTTGAAAAGGTTAAACACACACATTTAGTTTGATTTCTTCCATTGTGTGTATGTGTTTATAATATATACTCAGTTATATTTTTTTATTCCACAGAGAAAAAGCATACTTGCTTAAATTCTATCCACATGCATTTTTGACTGAAGAGAATGTCCATTCTTTTTTCTTTTTAGCAAGGCATTAAATTAGCTTGCTCAGTGAACCCAATTGTTTAAAAATAAGAATTTGACAGACTGAGTATGAATACAGTTTATTAATTGAATCCACATTTATTTTATAAATGAATAATATTGCTACTAAAAACATTCCTTGCTAAATAAAACACAAGGAGAAAAATTCTTATGAGTAGCTCCATGAAAACTTACTTTTGTTGTCTATGTGTCAAATTGGGAATTAATAGCTTAATAATCTGTTTTAATTATTTACCACCTCTAAAATATTGACTTCCTCATATAATTTTTAATTTGTTATTGGAAGTTTCTAGGATACCGATCATGTAGTCCCTTTTTCATTGCTCCACTGCATTTTTCCCCCAAGAAGTAATGAATGTAAAAAGCCCAAATTTAGAACAAATCAGATTTTTTTTTTTTTTTTTTTTTAGGCATTGATCTTTTGATCCAATGATTGGAAGCTTCTCTCAACACCTGGATGGGGAGCTTTAGTTGGGCTTTTAAATTCAAGAAAGTTCTTTAAAAATCATTTGATCATTGTGTGGAGAAATTTATAGCATACTAGCTAGATTCAGTTATATGTGAATTATGAATTAACATTACACTACAGGTGTATGAGTTTAGTATTTATTGCCAATACCCCCTCACTAGGGAGTTTGCAATAATTCTCTTTCCAGGAATGGCTGAGCCGATAGTTAGTTCTGTATTCCTAACTGCCTTCTTGTTCTTATGTGTGTGGCAGGAGGTTTACAAGCTCTCTCTACATTAGGTCTAATAGTGGCTATTCTCAGAATGTTGCTCTCCTCGCTACATATGTCATTGTCCCTTTCTCAGAATGGTACACCATTTTTTCCCTACATGCACTATGCTGTCTTTGTATGTGTGCATCAGGTGACTTTGAGTTTTCCAGCATGCTGCAGATGGGGTCAGTAAGGTTCACCAGCTGCAAGCCAAGCTGACCCAAGTAGGAAGCTCAACCAGACTCACAATACTACCAGTCAGTGTGACCTAGAAATTATCACTCACAAAGCCAGTACCAAATAATGAGCCTTGTGAGTGGCAGCATTGATTATGTGCTTTAAGAACTGGTCCAAACTATGACTTGGTGCTCTGGCCTCATTCTTTCTCATACTTCAGTTCTGTACCGGGACTGACACTCTGTTCTCTTCCTCTCTCCTTAGCTGGATTAGTTCTTATAAAAATTCCTGCATCTTTAGCCGATGAGGTGGCCAGAAGTGCTCAGCTGGTTGCTGAACGTTGTGGACAGGGTGGAGACCACTCATTATGATTAAGACTAGAGGAGAAACAAGAAACTTACCAGAACTGTGGGGCCACAAGTACCAGTAGGGGGAAGGCTGGAGAAAACCACAGCACGTACTAGATAAGCTAGAGCCAAGATCCAGGCCCCACAAAGCGTGAACACAAAGTTTTAAGGGAGTAAATGTTTTAAGTGGAAGATAAAGTTACGGAGTTAGTAGCTCAGAGATTAAAACGAAGAAATCAAAGGAAAAATAAATTTTGAAAGGAAAAATAATCTCAAGTTATTGCCTCAAATACTAACTTTAAAATCTGAATATACAAGGTACTGACTAGCTTAATGAGTCATGGAACACATACAACCTTGACATATGACATCAGGACTTTTTTCTCCTCCACCTACCTTTGTTCCTCTGGTTCTGGCATCAACTCCTATTCATATCAAGTTGTTACATTGACCACCCAGGACTGCTTTACTGCTCTTTGCCTTACTTCAGTGGTTTGTCACTTCCTGGATTTCTGCTACCCTAGTTTACCCACTAGATTGATGCATTTCATATCTATGTCTTTGATTGATGTATGTTATGTGTGTACATGCGAGTACGTGCTGCACATTTAGATGACTGCATTAGCCTGCCTGGATGTCCTCAGAGTAAAGCCATAGTCGCTTTATAGTAGATTTATTTCACTAGTCCTTTCCCTCCCTCTTCTGGTTTCTTCCCATCATTGTGCAGCCAAGCCATTCTATTTTACACATGTCTTGTTACTAACCAATGCAGTCCAAGACAAGGCATCACTCTCTTATCTCTGTTCTCTGACTTCTACTTTAAAGATGTGTATCTCTTTCTCAAGGGCTACCCATCTCATTCTCCTTTGTTCTGTGCTAGTGACATCTCTTAAGTTATACATTTTTCCTTCATTTTCTACAAACCTTTGAATGACCTCTGCAACAGTAGGAGGAACAAGTTTTCAACCCTTATAAAACTTTTGGGAAGGGAAAGGACTAGTTTCCTGTCAGAACTCTAGCAGAATGGCAGTGATACTATTCAAAGTATTTAACAATCACTACAGCAGAGGCACTGACCAATCAGATTTATGCCTGGCCACAATGCTGGAGGCCCGTTCCTCTGCCAGGCCCTATGCCTATCTTTGTGGCATTATGGGAAGGTTAGGGAATTCTTGGGGACACTAAAATCCCCAGGGATGGAGTGGGTACTTGAAGGTGTCAGTAGTTACTTAACAGCCAGTATGGAAACATTTCACTATTTCTATAACACACGTTATGACCATACGAGCTACATATCAGATCTGCCTCCCTCCAAACAGAAACTCTATGTTGATTCCTGTTTCTTGACTTTAAGCCAACTTCCTATTTAAAAAATTGCCCAGACTCAAAGGCCATCAGGAACCCACATGAAAAAGCATATTCCATATGCCCTGTACTTCAACATTATTTTTTTAAGTCAACATTATTTACTCCTTATGAATTTAAATCACAAATCATGTTATAGCTCTTTGTATTACAAATTTTCTTTTTCTTACTCGAAGTTTCAAGGTTAATGGCATTTTTCTAATTTATACAATAAACACCTAATGTGTACCTACAGTGTGCGAGGCACTGGGGATATGACAGTGAACATAGAAGACAAATTCCTGCCTGCATGGAGCTGACATTATAACCCAGAGGTTTTAATGCAAAATTTTAAATGTTAGAATTGCATATTGTGAAAAAAAGCCCCACATATTATGTGCATTTAATTGTACATACCTGCTTTTTAGTGCCAGGACTTTTGCATGCCAAAATTTTCTTCGCCGAGCATGTCAGTGAAGTGTTTGCATGTTTGCACGTCCAACAGAGAAAGAAAAAACAGAAATGCCATGTGCTGTGAAGGCATACAGAGATAAAAAGAACAGCCCCTAACGTGGAAATGTTAAAATATTATTTACAAAAGGTAAAGTCCATATAAAATATGGTTAGGTATAAAGGTAGTGATGTAAATTCCAAATACACACTCTAGTATTCCACAATTCCTAATAGCAAATTTAGGCAAAGGAGAGATCATTGAGGAATAGGCTCAGGAATATTTGTCCATTTCTATCCACTTTGCGACCTACTTTCTCCTTGAATTCTGAACTTCCTTTGGCAATGAAAGGAATCATATTAATTTGATTTATCCCAGGTAGATAGTCAAAACCCAGGTTGGAGAATGGGCATTTTGGTTCTAACCTTTTTTGTTCACTCTAAGAGGCAGCACAGAGACAAATGTCCTAGAGTGAAGGAGCTTGGAGGATAAGCACCCCAATAGTTTAGGTTTGGATTTCATGTGCTGTGCTGGTGGATGAGAGGGAATTTATCCCCAAAACAGTGTTTCATTGTTACCACAATCAGCATGTTCTCTTTTCCAAGGAGCCTGTGGGGTGGCTGGCTGTTAAGTGCTAGATTAGGTATCTTATGCACTAAATCGACGAGTTAGATAAATACAGCGTTCTCAGTTTTCAGAGCATGTATATTTAAAAAAATATTTAATGAAAGAAGTCAGCATGAGAGTTGGTATTTCCCCCCAAATACTGAATAGAGTGTAACCACAAGGTCATAAAAATAAACCCATCTGAATCTTCTGCCAGTTTTTCAGAGGTGTGTGGGAGAATGTTAGAAAAACTGGAGAAACAATGAATGTGTTACAGATGGGACAAATATAACAGTTTCTGTAGGTGCTCATGTTGTGCCATCTTTAGTCACTGCAGCTCATCACATCCATCACGATGAATTGCTCTCTAGATGGAAGACAGAATCGTGGGAATTACGTTTACAGTGCGAATGCAGTTCCCTCTGTTGATCAGCAATTCCATTACTCTTCAAAAAGCGAACAAAACAAAACAAAAAGCCCACTCTTTCTGGGATACAGTTTAGGAAGTAAATAACAAAGTGTCTCTTAAAAAAATGAAAAAAAGAAACAACACCTGAAATTAGAGGTTGCATGGAGAAATGGTATATTTTAACAATTTTGAAAGTACATAAACTTTATGTCTATATTTGTCAAAGAATGTATGGAAAATGTGAACAATTCTATCAACATAAACAATTATCTTTCTATATCGCATCTATGAACTTTCTACATCAGAATGGTTCTAAATTCTACATAGTGGTCATAGATGCAAAATAACATTCATGATGGAACTTATTATTTTGATAAACATGTATCTGTTTATTTAAGTAAATGAAGAATTTTACATTGCACTGCTTTGTAAACTATGTTCTAATTCCCATACAACTTGAGTTTATTACAGAACACTGCTTAGTCCTATGGAGTCTCAGCAATAACACCAACTTTCATAGCTCAATGGCTTTTCTCTCTCTGACCAGCTACTTATCATTTAAAGCCAGGCCCAGCGTCCTAGAAGCTCTTGGGACAGTCATCTAACAAGGGCTTAGAACCCCAGGCCCTGGGTGTGGTGCACCTTTCCCTTTTAAAGAAACAAGTGCAGTGTTTCTTATGTTTTTCACACAGTCTGGTATTTAAGGTTGGAAGGCAATTTGTAGTAAAGCAGTAAAGATGAGTCTGTGGTTTATTTTTTAAATAAATTAATCTATTTATACATTTATTGTGGTTGGGCATTAAGTTTTCTGTATCACAAAGAGCATCCTTCTTCAGGAAATTCTGCTTTTGGCCTCTAAAAGAGAATAAGGGTTACTCAGGAAATGAATGGATGATTTGTTTAATTTGCCTAATATAATATGGCTTTGAGGTTCTTAAATATCTCCTCAGAACCCTGATTACAAAAAAAAAAAAAAATTTCCCCACTCCAAAGTGAGATGTCATCCCATTATTTGGCTTCAGAAACACAAACATGAATTGCTAGGCAGGACATGAGGGTGCTCCCCTAACACACATATTCTCCAATCTAGACAACAGGAAAATCAATCAATTGATCAAGATTTTCTTCCATGTCATTTGTTTGCTATTATCAGTTTTTGTTAGATGGTCCCTTCTTTTCTTCCACAGTGTTTAAAACCTTGGAAGCTGTATGTGTTAAACATTTGTCAGGCAATGTGGTCTTAATTATACAGTTATTATTTAAACAAAAGTTTAATCACTAATACCAATAGCATGTTATTTACCCATGGTCTAGACACTTGGACCTCAACCATCTTAACATTTCTATACATATAAATGGAAAGGTAAAATTCATAATTATTCAGTTTTTTAATATCTTGCTATGGGACACACATATGTGTCTAGATATGTTATTTTATGTAATCTCTATTCTATCAGTTTTAAGATAATGAATGTGATCTTTCTATCTCCTTCAAATTCTATGCCCAACTTCATGGAAACATACTATTTTGGTTTATGATCAAAAGTTTCCTAACAATTTGGATGCACATTCATTAAGTAAACTCTCATAGTCTGACTCTGTAGTTGACTAAACTTAAGGATTTTGATTACTTTTATTTCAGTTTAATTCAGTTTGACCCAGTTGATAGCCCAGTTTTGTGCTGAATACCTCTCATCCTAAGGAAAACAAAAAATATAGTAAAAATTGTTAATCATGGCATTTTATAGTTCATGTCCCATATTCAGAACTGAAGTTATACAGATAGATAATTTGCCCCATTTCCCTGGCTATAATCAATAGTAATAATTTAAACCCATGGTTTAAACATTTTAAAGAAATAAGTGAGTTCCAAAAGGTTGTATTTTTGACTTTCCAGCAGTTGTTATGTTTTAGCAGCTTTTTAAGCTGGGTTCTATTTTTTCTTTTTCTTCTTCAGTCCTTTCTCCTAGTTGCATGTCCTTTTATAGCATTATTTAGAGGTACAAGGCACAATTAAACTGCTCTTTTACTGATATTATTGAAATAGATTTCAACACGGCTGGTTTGTACTTTTAAGCTAAAACAGACTTAATCATGCTCATGTTGGCTCAGTTTGTCATTGTTATCCACATTAATCTGCAGCAGATATGTGTGTACTGCTGCTGTGCAGAATACAAGATATAGTCCAGTAAACAACTTCAAATGTGATACCCTGGCATTTACTAAAAATAAGAATCACTGTTTAAAACTATCTTTATTTATTTGGGATTATATTTGAGTATTCAAATATTATCCTCATTTGGTTATTCTGTTTATGCTGGTTCATATGGCGGAGAGTGGGGGGGTGCATAACAAAAAGAATTGTACTTTTTGTTCTTTCAAAATACTGAGAAAATATAGTCCTGCATTAAGAAACATTTTAATATAAAACTACTAGATAATTAGGAGGGCTATGTGGCAGTAAAGATATTTTAGCTCTTACATTTTTTATCACATTGGGGCTATTTTTTTCTTTTCCACTTTTATTATTAACCTTTTTATAGAAAATTGGCTTACCAAGAATTTATGAATTAATAAGTCTATTATAATGATAAATGATAATTACCATTTAAATCCTGACTCATTTATCAGCTTGTTCACTGCATGTCAGGTGACACAAGACTGTATGATTACTTGTCTGGTGAGTATTTTTCAATGGATTGTTATACTTCCTTGAACTTTAGATCCTCATACCATATTTTTTAAAGTACGATAAAATGCAGTTAAGTAGTTTGACGCAGAAATTACAGACCATGCTATAAATAACAGAAGAAGTGGCTTCAATATTTTTAGAAGATTGTTCTTAGGTTCCAGTGACAAATGTAGAGTATCCAGTTGGGTCAAATGAAAAGTTCATAGACAGACAGTTTCAAGGGTTGCAGGATTGGTAATGTTATAGTAGCTAAACTAGTCACCATTCAATGTCAAAGTGGAAAGTTTTGGCTTTCAATACATCAGAAACCTCCAGGATATGAATCAGTAGTCTCTACGCTGTTCCCCACAGAGAGGCGCCTAGTCTTCAAACCATGCACATACTTGCCGACAGTTTAAACAGACAAAATGGGATTAGATAGACCTTAGGGAACATATGTGGGGCTGCTGGAAGTTTTCATTATGAGAATCAAAGCAGCAGAAAATTTTCACGTTTACAGGTTGCATATGGTTTTCACTCACTGGGCAGTAGTCAATCAAGGTATTTTGAAATTGCAAACATTTTGTTAAAATGTAAATTCTTCTTCCCCCTCTCACTCTTTCTGACAATGCACAGACTTTTAAAGCATGTGAATATTCGCTATCTGTTCCACTTCAGCTTCAAATTAAACTTTTTGTGTGAATAGCATAGAACTGAAAAGAAGACATGATTTGGGATCTTTAGGTTGACTTTGTCTCTTCCTCAAAGCCTCCTATAACAAAAAGGAATGTCTAGTAATATTAGCAATTGTGTGTTCACCAAATAAGGATGTATTAAATTGAAGTCTGTAATTTCTGTACTAAAGATCAGAACTCTCTTAAAACACACAATTTTACAAGCCCAGCAATCAAGCTAGACATTGAGAATCTTCCTTCCCATCACTGTCTTCACTTTAAATGCCTTCTTGCTAGGATTCTCTTTAATCTATTCTGTGATAGAAAGCCTTTCGTAAAAGATGAGTTGAGTGTACCTGCTCTCCCATTGCAAAATCATTAGAACCATCCATTTTAGGGAAAAAAAAAAAAACTGATTAAAGCACAATAATATAAAGCATGGGTTCTCAAATTTTTCTGTGCCTCCGAATTACCTGGAGAGCTCGTTAAATCATGCCGGGCCCTACCCCTAGAGATCCTGATATAGTAGCTCTGGGGGAGGACTTGATAATTTGCATTTTTAAGAAATTCCCAGGTGTATTAGTTTCTTATTGCTGCTATAACAAATCACCACAAACGTAGTGGCTTACAAAGCACGAATTTATTATCTTACAGCTTTGTAGGTCAGAAGTCTGAAATAAGGTATAAAAGGGCTAAGATCAAGGTGATGCCTTTTGGAGGGTTTACGGAGGAGTTCATTGTCCTGCAGTTTTCAGCTTCTAGAAGCCATCTTTATTCCTTTATGGTCCCTTCTCCTGATTCAGAGACAGAAGCGCTTCCAGCAGTGGCTTCTTCTCTCCTCCCTGACCTTAGAGTCCTGTCCTTACATCTCTCTCTGACTGGAACTCTGCTGCCTCTGTCTTACAAGGATCCTGTGATGACATTGGACCCACTTGCATAATTCAGGAAAATGTCCTCATTTCAAGATTGTTGACTTAGTTACACCTTCAAAGTTCCTATGACTATGTAAAGTTACATATTTACAGGTTCTGAAGATTAGGACATTTTAAGGGGACCATTATTCAGCCTCCAATACCAGGTGATACTAATACTGTCGCACTTTATGAACCACTGATATAAATGATGGAACAACTAACCAGCAATAGCCACGGTTATCCATTTTATTACAAAATATACCAAGAATGACCAAATCAGTTTGGGCTAAATTTTATTATTCAATAATGGTTGTACTGAATTGGTGTAAGCTATTGTTCTCAATCTTTGATCATTAAAATCAACTAGGGAGTTAAAAACAAAAACAAACCAGAAACCTTTTGAAGCCCAGGCCAATCCCACACCAATTAATTCAGAATCGTTGTGGATGTGAATCATTCATCAACGTTGTTTAAAGCTCCACCATTTATTCATATACATTCAATTTTGGGAACTACTGAATTATGTACATACAGGGCAACAAGTTGAAAGGCCCCAGACACATGATTACAAAGATAATTGTAACTGTTGTGAAGTATATGTGAAATAAGAGTTCAAGAAACAATTTTTTTGAATCAAAATGATAGCTAACTATACAGCACTATGGGTAAACATTCTCATACTTTATGCTATTTGAGATCTACACTTAGCCTGTGGTTAACCCATCTATAAGTACAGCAGGTAGGATTATTTTTAGTTTTATTTATTAAAGATGAGAAAAATGAAGTCCAAGGAGATGTATTGCACAGTTAATAAATCACTTAATTCAAATTTCATCTCAAGTCATTTGCCTCCAAAGTCTCTTTATTACAATGCTATACTGCTATAAAAAGTCCAAAAAATTATTTTAGCTGTTGAAAACTCAAATAGCATCAGGCACAAAATGAATCAAGTGCGATGTGTATATGACAATAGAAAGTGATGGGGAAAGTAGAGAGTCAGAGGACACATGCCATGCTTAAAGGCAGTTCAACTCGTGTTGTTTTTAAACTACCAAGGCCAAACAAAACACATATTCAAGCCAGATTCAGACCACCTGGCTGCCAGTTTGCTACTTCTGAAATACACTGTTTTCCACTTAAATGTCAGTTTCCCAGTGCTTTATTCTTCAGTGCTTTATTAATGTTTTCCACATATAGCCTTAAGCCTTTGGGGGTATAATTGACAGTAATTGCCTCCTTGAATTGCTCCTTCTTCCTTTCTCTTCCTAAATTCCCAGATTTGGCACACATGCATGTAGTGTCATTGGAATGGTTTGTCAGCAATCCAGCAGCAGCCCATCACAGCAATGCCACCAGGAAATGTGGATTTCTGTGACTGAGTTCACTTTTTAAAACTAGAAGCTCATGGAGTATTTTACTGTTTGCCAGGCCTCAAACTAAGACCAGACCTAATATGGGTTGCTTCTTTCCACTATACATATTTACTCAACGAATTTAGTATGCATGACTACAATTTTTTTTATACATGTTATAGCAATAGTGGGCCCTTTAGCACAACTAAATGAAGCTTAAAATACTATTACCTGAAAGCCAAGTATTACAAAGGTAGAACTTAAAGGCAGCCCTGAGTTTCCTTGTGTGATGTGGAAATCAGCCTCAGTTGTTTGTAGTTACAATATGCACTAGAACAGTAGGATAGCAGGAATTAACACATCTGCCTACAGACTTAGTCAAATGCCCAGAAATAAAAGCAGGCTTACAGTGTCAGCAATAAGGATATTTCTCTAATTGTTCATAGATTTATGCTTATGTATTATATTATTAAGACAATATGTAATGTTTGCTTTCAACGTACCGAGTACAGTGCTGTTTCTGATTCCATCCCCCTCCCCTTTTTAAAAATGTGCATGGGTTTGGCCAACAAGCAAGAAAATAAACAAACATTTCAAATCAAATCAGAAAAAAAAACCTCTAGCAAGAGCCTTTGCCTGTAGTGGTAGGAGTTTTACATGTAGTGGCATAAAACTCTTATCTTCCTATTCTCCACAGCAGAGGAATGTCTGCAGCATTCTAGCTATGAGAAATAAGTCAAAACTTAGCTTTAAAAAAGTTATAAAAGCAAACAAGTTGTAACACAAGAAGAGTATAAAAGGAAGCATTTAGAGGTCTTGTGTTGCCAAGGCAAGAGGGTGATCAGGAACTGTTTTTGGAGGTCAGTTTTGGCCTTCTGTGAATCCATCATTTGCATTTCCCAAAATCAGTCTTCCATTATGCCAGTGCCTAATGCTATGAAGGTTGAAGCCTTTAGGGTTTCCCAGTTCTCAACACCATCACACAATCTTCCATGTCTGGGTGCTGTGGTTTCCCCTGTGATTTGTTCTCACCATATTTATAAAACCTTTGCTTATTGTCCCTCAACATGCTCTGTTGATTTTAAACCATTTACCTTCTGTCCAGTCTCCTATTTCACGAATCAGTTAGGTTCCATCCTTTTTCTCTTCTTTCCTTCTTATCATCCTCCTGGGGTTTAAATGCCATACTCTCAACTTCGTCCAAACTCTACACATCTGACATCTTTCATGAAGACATTGATCTGACTTCTTTCTGGAGTCCCAAAACACTAAAATCTGCAACTCAGAACATATTTTGAAACTGGTTTCAGATTTATATTGGTTAGCCCCCTGACAATTAACAATCAGGGAGCATTTCTTTTTCTCTTTCTTCACATGTACTCTTTCCATGTGGCATGGCACAGAGTGTATCAGAGCTGCTCATGTATATTATTACATAATCCTATTATAATTTTGCCTTAGGTATGTGTGTGTGTGTACACACACACACACATATACACATATATATATACAGGCTGAGACTTCTTAATTATGTACATGTAACTCGGTGTTCTACCATCAAGATTACAACTTCCCCATTTCTGTGCACATTTATCCCTAGAGTTCTTGCCCTTCCTCCTAATGTATAACCCTCTAAATGTCCTCCTTTCTCCAGGATAGAAAATGGTTAATTCCCTAACCCTGCCATTTTACTGTTTTATCTTTAAGTGCCTTGGAGTTCACTTCAGAATGATTTCAGATTCACTCATAATTCTCATCCCCTTTAACTTAGCTTCTACCATACTGCCAGAGTTAACTTTCTAAAAGACGAAGCCAATCACACCATCCCCCTAATTATTGAACACCCTTTCAACTCTCCAATGCTTCAGAGACACAGAACTTCTTGAAGTCCCCATGACAGGCTCTTTCATACCTCTGGATCTTTACACTTTGTTAATCTGACTCTAGAGTCAGTCCTTGAAAGCACCAAGCAGAGATCAGCTTTCTGTCCTCTGTATTATTTGGTACCTTAACATATTTCACATTTAGCACTGGAAACTGCATTAAGATCATTTAGGTGTGTATCCATCTACTATGCTATACTATCAGCATTTCACAATAGAGAAGGCTGCTCTTAACTAAAATCAAAAGCCAGGGGAATGGAACTTTTCTCTACAGATTGGAAGCAGAAATAATGATTTAGCTAGCAGAGAAGATGCAAAAAAATCTGATATCCATGAATATCCTATAAAAATATGATATTAAAATGGACAAGAAATGGAACTACTTTATTTGGCTGATGTCAGGAATGTGAGAAAAAATTGGAAAACAAATGGAGTTTTGAGAATGATGAAGACTAAGGATTTTGCTGCTAAATGGAAACAGTCAGAACTCTTGGCTCAAAATAGCAGCCAGGCCTCATTAGAGAAGTTTAGACTCTGCCAATGAGGGCTGGATGGTAGCCTGCTTCCCTGAAAACTATTTGCTTATTTAGGGGATTTAGGCCTAGTGTACCCAAGATCTGAAAATATTAGTTCAAAAAAAAAGTATAACTTTTTCCTCAAAGCAATCAAAAGTTTTACGGGGCTATCCAGAAAGTAAGCACAGGATGAAATATGAGTGGCAGTAATGATTGGAAGGGACAGATGTTGTCATAAGACACATGTATTTACTCTATGCATATTGACTGAGTATCCACATTGTGCCAGATCCTGTGGAAGGCAAAGGGGATACGTTTACAAAGGTGTCTTCGATTGTGACCCTTCTTTCTATGAACTCTCAGATTTGTAGAAAAAAATACATTCAAACAACTGGTTTCCATACTGCAGAATACATGAATAAGTTAGAAAGGTAGCCAAAAAAGAGGAACAAGGACAACTGGCCCAGGAGCAGGCATTTGCTGAGATGGGAGTGTGGTGTGGAGGCAGTATGTTACAGAAGGTTTTACAAAAAAAGCCATGAGCTGGAACCAGGAGGTGAGTTAAAAAAAAAAAAATGCAGTGGTTAATGATGCCCTCAAATTTTAATAGAAATCATAATTAAATGCTTGCTTTTTCACTTTTTAAAATATTCTCAAAGTTTTCTCCAGTTTGCAGGCTCTAAATTAAGTTAGTTTGAATTAGAAAGAGTCTTCAAGTAAATCAAGTGTAAGCCATGTGTAGAAAGAAAAAGTCTCTTGAATTATGTAACATATTTACACATGGTTAATTTTTCCATTGAAAAAATGCTGTATGCTTCACTATTACTCTCTTTGTCTCGGAATGGAGATGTTACAAGAGATGGTTAATTTTAATTTTTCAGTATTTACTTGTATTTGTGAGTGACACAGCAACAAGTACCGCCAGAGTCAGTACTTCCCTGAGAAAATATCCATAGTGAGTTTCCCGAATTTATTAAGAATTAGAAACTGGTGGAGCACATGACTAGCTAACAAATAGTTTGTGCATCTATATTAATTCATACATTCATTCGTTCATGAATTTCCATTTAATGCAACAGTACTCTGACTGTAAAGAGTTAATAAGTAAAGAGATTTATGTCTGAACTAGCTGAGATATTTAAAATTTAGTTCAACAAATATTGGTTGGTGACGATGATAACTTGTGCTCTCCCAGTTGCTGAATCAATTCTGTAAACTACAGATTTTAATTTCCAGGGCTGTGAATCTGACATGTTTTATCAACAATCATATAGAAAATCTAAAGCACCAAGAGAAAAAAAATTATTCCATTACATTTGTTCATTTATCTAGAACTTATTACCATAGCATATGATATGTTAACTCACTTGTAGAATAAATATGATGATGAGAGAAAGAAAATTAGCATATGTGGAAGACTGCCCTATTAAAGGAGGAAATGTTGATGGTTACTGGATAAGCATTCCTTTTCTACCTGGGGAAGCCCAGTCCCCATTGATGTAAGACCTGGGATCACAAAGATGAAGGCTTAGGAAGGAATATGGATTTTCTGGTTGAAAAGAATAGAGCGGCAAACGGACAAATGTCGGCAAAAGAAACTTACTACTCATAACATTTATGCTTTTGCTTTTTCTGTATCAGATCTGCCATAGGTTTAACAGCTCATAAACTGAAGCTAACTTTCTGAATGATCTTTAATTCTTGAAAAGTAACCATAAACTAAAGAGGAAAAAATACTGATATATTAATCCTGGCCGCAGGCAGCAATTCTTGGCCCAAAAGCTTAATGGGGCTGAGCTGAATGGGACATAACAAGATGACTATCCTAACAAAATACAGTCTGTGTCCTCCGATGGATGAGGAATGTTCTTTCCCCATTCTCATTTGAACACAGGAGAACATAAAGTGCCAGTTAAACTAAGTAATGTTGCATAACTAAATTACAGGGGTTTTGTTCAGGTCTCCAATAGAGTATAAAGCTCCTCAAACTGGAAGTATGTTTTAATCAAGGGTCTGAGTAAGCAGTCCCTCATAGTTCTGCAATATCTGAGTTAATAGAAATATTTTCTTTAGAATCCTCACCTCTGTAAAACTGCATTAACAAAAGCTATACACATATGAAAGTTATATAAAGAAAGTGGGCATATATTGGGCTTTTTGAGGTGAACTTTTAACTTTATTAAATAGCTTTGAAAGAAATGTGGAAAGAAATTAATTTGCAACTAGGTTTTAAGCAATTGCTTTTAAATTTTGCAAATGCAGTTATTTAATTTTGCTACCTGACTGGCATAATGCTTGTTTTTTGAATAGGGTTAAACAATTTATATGATGTATGATACAGCTTTGGAAAGCTTTTATTTGTTTTATTGGGTAATTTGTATTCGGTATCAGGGAGGTGATCTAAAGCTTTGCATTTAGTGATTGCAGAGGAGGCCCAAGCACACAAAACATTCCTCACTTTATTTCACAGGGGTGAATCCATCATGACCCGGAAGGCTCACCTATAGATAAGATGGTTTGGCCTCAATAACACTTTGAGTCTTTACACTCTCTGGGGTTTTGCATACTCCTTTAGACACAGGTCTTTGTCATTAATGAGAGTCGCATGAGTGGATCCCTGAATGACACTTTGGAGAATGGTGGGACAAGTTTTTAACAAGCTAACCCTTCTGGCTATAACATAAAAGGGAACTCTGTGTTTAAGATAGTGTGGGAATAAAAGACAGAGGTAATTTGCACTGCCGAAGAAATAATTGTTAGTTCCACATTGCTTTCCATGTGGTAGGTGGAGGAGAGGGGAAAGAATGTGTTCATGTCTAGGAAATCGCTGTTTATTTTTCTTGCTGATAATCTGTAAGATTAGGGATACCCTTCTAAAATTTCAGAGATTACCCCAGCTGATTCTATGATGGCGCTTTAGAAAGAAATGTCAACAAATTTTTCTCTTGCTCATAATGACTGCCTATTTTAGAATAACTTTGATGCTATTGTACAGATAAATTCTCTGGATCTATATCTTACCAAAGACACCCTCCCTACAAATGGGAGAGAGTATAAAGTGGATATGGTGCAAGGACAGGACTAGGAATTCAAGGGACAAAAATCTCCATTTTGCCTAAAAAAATACCATGTTATTTTACACTATGTGACAGCTCCCTGGGTTTTCATATATTTAAAACCTGAGGTTCTGAGGTTAAATTATCCTTCCAATGTCACATAATTAGAAGCCAACTGGGGCTGAATGATGCTCTTCTGAAGTTAAATTATCACTGTACCTTCCATTACCCTATACTGCCTCTTACATTGACACACACTCTTCTGAGTAGTATTTATTTTTGTAATAACTAAGATAAAATTTAACTTTATTGTAAAGGAACTACACATTCATCAAATTGAAAGTGTACAAAAATAGTATTTTAGGTATTTTAGATGAGAATACAAAGATTTGACATTAATATTTATAATGATGTTTATTGATACTTTGAAAGAGAAATATGGCTGGTTAACCAAACTGATAAAAAATCTCAAACCTCACAATTTCTCAAGTAAATACAACTGAAAACCAAAAGTTGCAGTATTTTCCTCTATCTTTAATTTATCTCTTATCATCCTTGCAAGCGTATTCAGAGGAGTGAGTTCTGGCCTATCCCCTAGATGAAAAGGACAGACCAGAAGCTATTGGTTGGAAGGAAAAAAGGCAAGAGGTTACCAAAAATACTCTCTTTGCTTGGCTGCCACTCAGGTATTGGCAAATGATTATAGCTTGATCTTTCTCTTGGCAGCCCTTTTGGGTGCTTCAGAAGCCTGTATTGAGGTTGGGCTTCTCTCTCCTACAAAACCATGGCCTTCAGGAATGCATCTCTCTGAGTGTGAGGGGCTCATCCTTCCAATAATATTACCTTGCCTCCAGGTTCCCTCTGGTGAAGTCTGTACACCTCCCCAGCACGCCTGGCCTTAATCACCTCATGGCACTTCTGTCTCATATGATTCTTCTTTAGTTTCCATAACAAACTCAGACAACACTGCTCACTCCCATTAGTACCCAGCTAATTCCTCAAACTGGACATTTCTCAAGAGTAAATCAGATTCCAGTCCACTTGATCCTCCAACAGAATGAGACGCAACTCAGGATTTCCCATTTGCACAGAGAAGGTTACTTCATAAGATTTGAAAGGAGAAGCAGGTACTCCAGCTCTACCTCACTTAGAAGATGAGTTTGATACACAGAAAACTAGCAGCACCCTCCCAAAATAAAAATCTATTTACAACTGTTTCTCCATCTGCTCTCTCAGCTTTTTTTTTTTTTTTTTTTTTTTTTTTTTTAGATAATCTATGTGGGTAAGAGATTTAGGAATCATCTAGCCAGGTCTTGGCAACCTACTTTTTGTAAATCCGGCAGAATGATCTGACTTATATCTCACTGACATTTATTATTTTAAAGCATTGAGCTAAATTTTCCTTTTAATATCTTGTTACAGATGTAATTCTCTCTACTTTTGAGAGTATGGTATAATGTCCTTCTCAAAAATTGTTGACATGAATTTAAATGGAAAAACCTTCTGGCAATGTGAATTATGAATTTTCTAATGGCTATATTCTTTGATTTAAAAATTTTATTTCTGAAAATCCAGTCCAAGTATATAATCCTGAATGCAAAAAAAAAACCTATACATAAAAGCTGTCCTCAAAAATATATCAAAAACAACCTAGATAGAAACAGCATGTAAGTGATTAAGTAAAGTAATAGAAACCCAGGTAATGAAATATTATACAAGCAGGAAAATGTTTATGAAGTTTGTACAATAATAAGGAAAAGCAATGATAATTCAGTAAAAAATGTAAAAGTTAGGCTTTAAATTTTTACCTGTAGTATAAAAATAATCATGTTAAAATGTTTTTTAAAAGAATCTCTCAAATATATTTGCATACATTTTTTAAAGTTCAGGAATGTACCAAGGTATTAACAGTGATTATCAATGAATGTTTTGATGTTAGGAAAGGTTTTCCTCTCCTTATTACTATGTATTTTAAAATTTTCCTACACTAAGCATATATTTCTTTTAAAATGCTGCAAATAATAGTTAAAAAATAAATGCAGAGCATTAAAATTGAAAATAATAACCATGACACATTTTATCCTTGGAAGACATAATCTAAAATGTTTATTCCTTTCCCTTTTTCCACATCAAGTATGATTCTAAATCTTGTAGACTTTGCATCCAAAATGTCTTTAACCTCATTTTCTCTTTTCCAGGGCTTTAGCACTACTCTTACGTATCCTCTTACTTCCTCTTACTCTTAACACCACAACCATTGTACCAGATTCCTAACCAGCCTCCCTGATTTCCAGATGTTTCTCTGACCTTGGTTCAAATCCTTTCTAGCTTTATGAGTTTCAGGCATATTACTTATCATAGATAAGCATCAGTTTAACTCTTTATAAAAATATAAAGGTGGCTCATGCCTGTAATCCCAGAACTTTGAGAGGCCGAGGCAGGCAGATCACCTGAGGTCAGGAGTTCGAGACCAGCCTGGCCAACATAGTGAAACCCCGTCTCTACTAAAAATACAAAACTTAGTCGGGCATGGTGGTGCGTGCCTGTAATCCCAGCTACTTTGGAGGCTGAGGCAGGAGAATCGCTTGAACCTGGGAGGCAGAGGTTGCAGTGAGTCGAGATCGTGCCACTGCACTCCAGCATGAGTGACAGAGCAAGACTCTATCTCAAAAACAAATATATATATATATATATATATATAAAATATATATATATATATATATAAAATATATATATATATATATATATATAAAATATATATAATTCTACAGTTCTCTAAGAAGTATATAAAAAGAGGTTATATACCTCTTTTAGTGTTTGGTCAATAGTGGCTGTTCAATAAAGGCAGCTCTCATTATTATAATTTCAACTATGTTATTTTTCTGTACTTTTAATGTTGCTATGTTGTACACTTTAAAATACAGATTTTTGATACAGCCATTTAAGATCCTCCAAAATATGATATTAAGTACCTCTTCCACTTTATTTCACAAAATTGAACCCTCAGCTTCAAGCAAAGTGGACGACTTTCTGCTGCCTGGTCACACTCTTTTGTCCCTCCATGTTGGTGCCAAAACTTGGCTTATTCCCACAACTCCATTGATCCCTTTACCCTTTATTCCTCCCTGTCATGTTCCACCTTTCTGAAAGGTCATATCTTATCTGAAACCTTTCTGAACCCCAAAACCAAATTAGATTACTAATTTCTCTGAAACTTCATAATATTTTTCAATATCCTTAGGATATATAACATTCCATTCATCATCCTGGTTGGATAACTGATCGTCAGGGCTTAGCTTGGAAAGCAATGTCCTCAGAGAGGCTGCATCTGCCCAACCAAACTAAAGTAGGCCCTAGGCTACTATCATATTTTCCAGTATTTTTAGTTACTCAGTTTGTCTCCCTTCTTTTTTCCTACCACTTTGCCAGTAGATTTTTTTACTTCTCAAAAACAAAACTGTTTTCCTTAGCAGTCCCTAGTACTGTATCTTTCAAGCAATAAACGTTCAATAATTGTATGAAATTGAATTGTCAAAAATGAAATCTGTATCATCTACACTAAAGTTGGTAAGAAAGCTTCTAATTTGAAAATTGTTACTAAAATCATAAGTTATCCTCTCCACATCAACATACACATTCAGCATTCACACACTCACATTTATTCACACACATTTGCACACATGCTATTCATAGACATTTACACACACCATTCACACATTTATTTATACACATACATCATTCACACATTCACAGACACCACTTGCCCACACACCCCATTCACACACTCACACTAATTCACATACACATTCATTCACACAAACACACCCCTCTGGGTTCTTGGTCTCTGCCATAATTTACATAATGTTCAGTGAGCAGGTATGGCAGGGACCAATTATAGGAAACTGGAAATGCTCTACCTGGAACTCTCAGTGGAAGCCATGATCTGTTGTATTTGGAATGTACAGAAAAGACCATGGAAAGAAAGGGAGAAAAAAACGGTGATGTGAATGTTAAGTAATAAACCTTTGGGAACAATAACACATTCAGTATAGCTCACTTGATAGTATAGTTTAGTAAAGTCTGACGGAGAATACAAACCAATGCAAAGTTAGAAAAAAATAGAAATTTAAAATATGAAGAGGAATTGTGCAGAATCTATAAAACTATAGCCTTCTTCAGCCAGAATTTTGTTGTTCATTTGAGACTTCTAGGAAACATAGTTTGGGTTTTTAAAAATATTTTCTTAGGGAAAAATAATATAAAAAGAAAATAGAGTAACAATTTTAATAAAAATATAAACCATAAAGTAAATAGATAGCTATGTACTGTGTTTTAAAAGTTAATCGATACTAAATTCAAAAGCATAAAAAAGAAGCTGTCCCCCAATTACAGAATTCCACACTCAAATTGCTTAAAAAATACTTCTGAGTAAATGAAGATGCTTGTTCCTTCCAGAATCCTCACTGCAGCCCCTCAGCTTTTATCAGAAAACTTGAACACCTATTAACTCTTCTCTTCCTCTATCTGCACCCTCTGATACTCTTTAGATTTTTTTCCCGTCAGCATTTAAACACATTCAGTGTTTCCCACTATAATCAAAAGCCCTCCTCCAACACATTTATCTCCTATCTTCTAATTTTTCTCTCCCCTCCAAAATTATGTCAAAATTTTACAAAATTGGTTACACATTCTTTCTCCATTGTTCTCACCTTTTACTACCATGCCCTCTTTAACTTGAAATACATTAATTTTGTAATATTTCTACAATGACCTCTGTGGTAGGTTGAATAATACCCCCTCTCCAAATGCCCATGTTCTAATTCTGAGATTCTGTTAATATGTTACCTTAAATGGCAAGAGGGACTTTGCAAATATGATTAAATTTAATGATCTTAAGATGGGGAGGATAGTCTGGATTATGCAGGTGGGTCAAACGATGTAATCACATGTGGCCTTAAAATAGGCAGAGGGAAAAGCTGCTACAGGAGAGTAGCAGGAGATATGACATAAGAAAGAGGTTGGGGCCGGGTGCTGTGGCTTACAGTAACCCCAGCACTTTGGGAGGCCAAGCGGGGAGTATCGCTTGAGCCCAGGATTTCAAGCCAAGCTTGGGCAACATAATCAGACCTCATCTCTGAAAAAAAAAAAAAAAAAGAAAGAAAAAATTAGCCAGGCAGGGCGGAGCACACCAGTTTTCCCAGCTAGTTGGGAGGCTGAGATAGAAGGACTGCTTGAGCCCAGGAGGTTGAAGCTTCAGTGAGCCATGATCATGCCACTTCATTTCAGCCTGGGCAGCAGAGTGAGACCCTGTCTCAGGAAAAAAAAAAAAAAAAAAAAAGAGGTGGTAGTGATTTGAGGAAAGTCAGGAGCCAAAAATTGCAGCCAATCTTTCGAAGCTAGAAAAGGCGAATAAATGAAGAAACGACAGGTGTGCTAAAATCTCAGAATTTACCACTATGGAATTCATCCATGTATTTCAAAACCACTTATACCCCAAAAGCTATTAAAATAAAAATATATATATTTTTAAAGCTAGTAAAGGCAAAGAAACAGATTCTCCCCTAGATACTTCAGAAGGAGTCTGCCCTGCCAACACCTTTACTTCAATCCAGTAAAGCTGATTCCAGACTTCTGGTCTCCAGAACTGTAAGTGAATAAATTTGTGTTGTTTTAAGCTGCCAAATATGTGCTAATTTATTACAGCAGCAATAGGAAGATAATACAGCCCCATACAGTAAGTCAAATGGAGGACAACTCCTAGTCTTCCCTTAGTTTTCACTAGCAACCTCTTAGCTCTTTAAATACACTAGGCTTTTTATTAGATCTTTGGCTGATTCTTCTCAGACTTCTTTGCTTACTCCTCCCTTTCTACCAAAATAGTACATGTTAGAGTTTCTTGAGACTCAGTCTATTTTTTTTTTCTTTTTCCAAGTCTTATATCTCCTCAGGAAAACACAGCACCACTGAGTGCTTTGGCAACCTATAGAGAACTTCAATCTTTGGTCACAGCATTAAGAGCTCTTGGTTTCATAGTCCCATGAGCCCTCTTTAAAATGGCCTAAAGACTCCATCTAAAACCACACCATTTTTCACTCTCTAAGCAATCATATCTACTCTGAAATCTCTTGAAAGCCATATCTCAAGCCCATCTGCTTGGCTACAAGTATATACACCTGCTTACTTTAGTTCCCTACTCAATTATCACACAGACATCCCAAATTTAATGTATCTACAACTGAACACATTCCTTTCCTTCAAGCTTGTTTTATTTCCAGTATTAATAATCTCAACAAAAGGTACCACCAGGTTTTCTAATCAAAAACTTGGGATTTATTATATATGTCCCCTTTCCTCCCCTACCATATACAGTCAACTACCAAGTCTGATCAAGTCTGCCACCTAAATGCCTATTATTGCCAATATCAATGAAACTAATCTAGTTCAAATCACAATCTCAGATATGACTAAATGAATGCAGTGGTCTTATGACATACCCACCCCCAACAGTGCACAATGTAGCAACACTAATTCAGTTATTTTCAACCCCCCCCCACATACAGAGCCATTCCCCCACATAATAGGCACAGTGATATTTAAACACACACACAGTCACACACACAAATCCTATATTACCACGGACTTGCTTAACACTCTTTGCTCTTCAGAAATAATGTGATTCAGGAAATCTTTCCTTTAGACTTTGGTCCCTGCCTCATTCTTTACTTTCATTTCTCACTATTCTATGCATTTCTCTTAAATCACCTTCATGGTCCCCTTCTTTTAGATCATTGTACTTTTCATTTTCTTTTTTCACAATTCAGGATCATGGAACTCTGAAAGTCTCTTTTGTGTAGAATTCCTTCCCCACCATCCCCTTGTTTTGCCCATCTTATTACCTAACTAGGTCTTATTCATGCTTCGTTCTCCTCTAAAACGTCAGGGATGCATTCTCTGATATCCTCTCCAAAACCAGGTTAGAGTTTCCTGCTATGTGCTTCCAAATTAAACTACACTTTGACTTCAAAATGCATATTGTATTTAAATATACTTAATAAACATTGTCTTCTCTCAGTAGATATTTTTTTCCTTTTTAAGCAGCATTATAAAAGTATAAATGAGGTACAATAAATTGCCATATTAAAAGTATAAAATTTCTTAAGTTTTCACATATATGGATACAGCCATGAAACCATCATAACAATAAAGATAGTGAACACATTCATAACCCCAAAGTTTCCTCTTGCCCCTTTGTTCTAACAAAGTCATACCATATTTGTCTTGTTCCTAATGTTCCTGGCACACAGTGGCACTCAAAATATATTTGATAAGTGAATTAAATAGCAAAATTGTTCATCAAAGGATTATAAGCACCAAAAGCAATGTGTCTTTGTTTTTGCAACTTTTGTAAAATAATGCAAACCTATGCATCACTGAAAATTATGCTTTATGAGAATGATAAATTTTATTTTAATAAATTCAAGTAGAAAAATCAGATTAAACGGATTTATAAAACATGACTCTGAACACATATATTTACGTAGATTTATTTATGTGTAGCTAGAAAAGATAATGGACACTGACACAAAAACTAGCAATGGAGAAATTGCAGGTGATTTTAATTTTCTTCTTTGTGCTTCTCTGAAACTTTTAAAGACCATGTGTCATAATATGTTGAATGGGACCTTTCCTGCATTTTAAAATTTTGGCTAAAGCCCCATGCTGTGGACAACAAGTAGTAAGTATTTCCACATTCTAATCAAAACAGCCAAAAAGCTGTCAGATTCCCTTCTCTTGAGTTTGCTAAGAGGTAGCCAAATTGGTCTTTCTGCTGTCATACTCAACATTCTATCCAGTGTACAAAAGCTAACATCCTAATTTTGTTGAAGGGGAAAGTTGGCAGAAAGTGAGCCATTCTAGTTTATTTTCCACCCCATCCCGTATCTGAAAGAAAGGCAAAGGATGCCATTCCTTTAAGTGATTATTATACTCCAAAAAGAACTACTTTTAGAGATTAAGGATGGCATAAGAACTGGCATTGTTAACCCTGGCTGGATGCTTGCTGAGCTGCATTTGTGCACAGGCTCACATATGCTGCCACCTGAGTGGAGTATGGTAAGAAAAGTCTTAGGAGCTTCAGCCTGTATCCTTTGGAATTTTAGAGTTACTGTCTTGCAATTTTTTTCAAGGCAGAAGTTTGACCACAGAGAGGGCAGCAAGAGTCAGCCCACTTTCAGAAAAGATACACTAGTTTCCTATGTGGGAAGTGGATACTACTAAGGGAGGAGACCACCCCTCACATTGTCTTATGCCTAATTTCTGCCTCCAAAGAAAGAAAAAGTGAAAACTAAAAGGCAGAAACGAAATCCACAGGCAGACAGCCTGGCGCTGCACCCTGGGCCTGGTAGTTAAAGATCGACCCCTGACCTAATCGGTTATGTTATCTATAGATTACAGACATTGTATAGAAATGGACTGTGAAAATCCCTATCCTGTTTTGTTCCGATCTAATTACCGGTGCATGCAGCCCCGAGTCACATACCCCCCGCTTTCTCAATCATGACCTTCTCACACGCTCGGCTCTTGAGACAGGAGTCTTGCCGATACCCTCAGCCGAATAAAACCCTTCCTTCTTTAACTCGGTGTCTGAGGAGTTTTGTCTGCAACTTGTTCTGCTACACAACAAAAAGTGGCAAGCTCAAGCATCTCCATGTGGCTTTCTTGGATTAAAAGGGCTTTCTGCCGTGGCAGGGGAACACTGGCAGTAATGAGTGGTGAGATGAACTGATGTGGGCAAGAGCTGAGTTGCTAACTAGAGAGTGATGCAATACAGTTGTTCAATGGGGACCCAAAAGAGCCCATCTGTGCTCCATGGACAATTCAGCATTTAGCATGTGAGCCCCTCACAGGGTATTGAGGACTAAAAGAGAACAAAATGAGCATCAATTAAACCTGTTTTTTCCTTTTTACACAATTCCGCACATGACCCCTTCTGCCTTGACCTTGGAAGACTCAGAAGATGATAAATTGAGGATGACTAGGTGGAGATATAGAACACAGTGAGGTAGGCAGTACAGTTCCTTTCTATGGACGGGGCTTAAGGCCCACAGGCCTGGCAGTTCTCCGGTGTCTTTCGATCCCACACGTTCTGCTGTTGAACTCATCAGGTGGATGGGAGGCAGGACTAGATTGAAGCTCCAAACAGAGCAGCTTGCGAAAGTTCGCATTGTGAATTGTAGCTCCAGACTGACTGCAGGAACAAACCAGCAATCCCGAGAGGACCCACAGACCCTCTGAAGGAAGTGTACTACTCCTGTAGGACCCAGGAGACACCCCAAATACTGTGAGTGCCCCAACTGTAGAAGTGGGAAAGGAAGACCCTGCTCCCCCAAACACACACCTCCATTGGAGAAGTTGAAAGTCTTGTTTGTGGGAGAAGTTTCTGACTTTACCTGGAGCTGAGTCAATTTAGAGAGCCAAGCGAAATATAGGGTAGAGGAAGTAGCAGAAAGGCCCTGGGAGCTCACTGTGCCCCGAGTAGGCCATTCCTGCCTGGCATCCCAGGGATCCATTCGGAGGGTGACCAGAGGAGCAGGGGGTAAAACTCCACAGGGAGAAGGAAATCTCTAGCTGAACTTTGTAACAATTTGAAGAGGGTGAGAAGCCTCCTGGCCAGAACTCCAGGGAGGGTGAAAATCCAGTGTGTGGACTCCACAGATGGGGGAAGAACCAAGCCCTTTTCTTTCACAGCTGGGAGGCAGGTAGCCCAGGGCAAATTTTCAAGCCCGACATGCCTTCCACCTGGAAACAGACTGGGGGTTGTTGGGGTGTGCATGATGGGGGTGAGACTGGCCCTTCAGTTTGCGTGGGAGCTGTGTGAGGCCTGTGACTGCTGGCTTTCCCCCACTTCCCTGACAACTGCATGACTCAGCAGAGGCAGCCACAATCCTCCTAGGTACACAACTCCAGTGACCTGGGAATCTCACCCCCATCCCCCACAGCAGCTGCAGCAAGACCTGCCCAAGGAGAGTCTGAGCTCAGACATGCCTAGGCCTGCCCCCACCTGATGGTTCTTCCCTACCCATCCTGGTAGCTGAAGACAAAACGCATATAATCTTGGGAGTTCTAGGGCCCAACCCACCACCAGTCCCTCTCCACACTACTAGAGCTGATGCTTTCTGGAAAGCATCACCTCCTGGCAGGAGGCCAACCAGCACTAAAATAGACCATTAAAGCACCAAAGCTGAGGACCCCCATGGAGTCCATTGCATTCCCCTCAACCATCTTCACTGGAACAGGCGCTGGTATCCACAGCTGAGAGACCCGTAGAAGGTTCACATCACAGGATTCTGTGCAGACAACCCCCAGTACCAACCCAGAGCTGGGCAGACTGGCTGGGTGGCTAGACTCAGAAGAGAGACAACAATCACTGCAGTTCGGCTCACAGGAAGCCACATCCAAAGGAAAAGGGGAAGAGCACTACATAAACGGAACACCCCATGGGACAAAAGAATCTGAACAACAGCCTTCAGCTCTAAACCTTCCCTCTGATGGAGCCTACCCAAATAAGAAGAAACCAGAAAACCAACCCTGGTAATATGACAAAACAAGGCTCTTTGACACCCTCAAAAAATTACACTAGTTCCCCAGCAATGGATCCAAGCCAAGAAGAAATCTGTGATATAACTAAAAAAGAATTAGGGAGGTTAGTTATTAAGTTAATCAGGAAGGGACCAGAGAAAGGTGAAGGCCATTGTAAGGAAATCCAAAAAATGATACAAGAAGTGAAGGGAGAAATATTCAAGGAAACAGATAGCTTTAAAAAATCAAAAATTCAGGAGACTTTGGACACACTTTTAGAAAGCCTCAGCAATAGAACTGAACAAGTAGAAAGAAATTCAGAGCTTGAAGACAAGGTCTTCTAATTAACTCAAACTAACAAATACAAAGAAAAAAGAATAAGAAGATATGAACAAAGTCTCCAAGAAGTCTGGGATTATGTTAAATGACCAAACTTAAGAATAATCCATGTTCCTGAGGAAGAAGGGAACTCTAAAAGCTTGGAAAACATTCAGGGGAATAATCAAGAAAAACTTCCCTGGCCTTGCTAGACACCTATACATCCAAATACAAGAAGCACAAAGAACACCTGGAAAATTCATTGCACAAAGATCTTTGCCTGGGTGTATTGTCATCAGGTTACCCAAAATTAAGACAAAGGAAAGAATCTGAAGAACTGTGAGACAGAAGCACCAGGCAATGTATAAAGGAAAACCTATCAGATTAATAACAGATTTCTTAACAGAAACCCTACAAGCTAGAAGGGATTGGGGCCTTATCTTCTGCCTCCTCAAACAAAACCATTATCAGCCAAGAATTTTGTATCCAGTGAAACTAAGCATCATATATGAAGGAAAGATACAGTCATTTTCAGAAAGATGCTGAGAGAATTTGCCATTACCAAGCCACCAGTACAAGAACTGCTAAAAGGAGCTCTAAATCTTTAAACGAGTCCTGGAAACACATCAAAACAGAACCTCTTTAAAGCATCAATCCCACACCTATAAAACAAAAATACATATTAAAAAGCAAAAACAAAACAAAACAAAAAACAAAAGTACACAGACAACAAAAAGCAAAATGAATGCAACCTCACATTTCAATATTAACATTAAATGTGAATGGCCTAAATGCTCCACTTAAAAGATTCAGAACCGCAGAATGGATAAGAACTCACCAACCAAATATCTACTGCCTTCAGGAGACCTACCTAACACATAAGGACTCACATAAACTTAAAGTAAAGGGGTGGAAAGAGGCATTTCATGCAAATGGACACCAAAAGTGAGCAGGGGTAGCTATTCTTATATCAGACAAAACAAATTTTAAAGCAACAGCAGTTAAAAGAGACAAAGAGGGACATTATATAATGGTAAAAGGCCTTGTCCAACAGGAAACTATCACAATCCTAAACATATACATGCCTAACAATGGAGTACCCAAATTTATAAAAACAATTACTAATAGACCTAAGAAATGAGATAGACAGCAACACAATAATAGTGGGGGACTTCAATACTCCACTGACAGCACTAGACAGGTCCTCAAGACAGAAAGTCAACAAAGGAACAATGGATTTAAACTACACCTTGGAACAAATGGACTTAACAGATATATACAGAAAATTTCATCCAACAACTGCAGAATACACTTTCTATTCAACAGTGTATGGAACTTTCTCCAAGATAGACCATATAATAGGCCATAAAATGAGCCTCAATACATTTAAGAAAATTGATATTATATCAAGCACTCTCTCAGACCACAGTGCTCCTGAATGAGCATTGGGTCAAAAACAAAATCAAGATGGAAATTAAAACATTCTTCAAACTGAATGTCAATAATGACACAACCTATCAAAACCTCTGGGTTATAGCAAAGGCAATGCTAAGAGGAAAGTTCATAGCCTTAAGCATCTACATCCAAAAAACTGAAAGAACACAAGCTGACATTCTAAGGTCACACCTCAAGGAACTAGAAAAACAAGAACAAAACAAACCCAAACCCAGCAGAAGAAAAGAAATAACCAAGATCAGAGCAGAATTAAATGAAATTTAAACCAAACAAAAAAAAGATAAATAAAACAAAAAACTGTTTTTTTGAAAAGATAAATAAAATTGGTAGATCTTAGCAAGATTAACCAAGAAAAGAAGAGAAAAAATGCAAAATGCAAAATTCAAGTGACCTCACTAAAAAACAAAACAGAAGATATTACAACTGACAGCGCTGAAATACAAAAGATCATTCAAGACTACTATGAACACCTTTATGCACATAAAATAGAAAACCTAAAAGAGATGGATGAATTCCTGGAAAAATACAACCCTTCTAACTTAAATCAATAAGAATTAGATACCCTGAACAGACTAATAACAGGCAGCAAGATTGAAATGGTAATTAAAAAATTACCAACAAAAAAGTCCAAGATCAGACGATTCACAGAAGAATGCTACCAGACATTCAAAGAAGAATTAGTACCAATGCTCTTGACGTTATTTCACAAGAGAGAAAGAAGGAACTCTCCCTAATTCATTTAATGAACCTAGCATCACCCTAATACCAAAACCAGGCAAGGACATAACTGTAAAGAAAACTACAGACCAATATCCTTGATGAATATTGATACTAAAATTCTTAACAAAACACTAGCTAACCAAATCCAACAACATATGAAAAAGATAATCCACCATGATCAAGTGTGTTTCATACTAGGGATGCAGAGATGGTTTAACACATGCAAGTAAATAAATGTGATACACCACATAAACAGCATTAAAAACAAAAATCACATGATCATCTCAGTAGATGCAGAAAAAGCATTTGACAAAATCCAGTATCCCTTTATGATTAAAACTCTCTGTAAAATTGGCACAAGGGACATACCTTAATTTAATAAAAGCCATCTATGACAAACCCTCAGCCGACATAATACCGAATGTGGAAAAGTTGAAAGCATTCCCTATGATAACTGGAAAAACACAAGGATGCCCACTCTGACCACTCCTCTTCAGCATAGTAATGGAAGTCCTAGCCGGAGCAATCAGACAAGAGAAAGAAATAAAGGGCAACCAAATTGGTAAAGAGGAAGTCAAACTGTCACTGTTTGCTGATGATATGATTGCTTATCCTGAAAACCCTCAGGACTCCTCCAGAAAGCTCCTAGAACTGATAAAAGAATTCAGCAAAGTTTCCGATACAAGATTAATGTACACAAATCAGTAGCTCTTCTATACACAAATAGCAATCAAGCAGAGAATCAAATCAAGAACTCAACCCCTTTTACAATAGCTGCAAAAAAATAAAATACTTAGGAATATACCTAACCAAGGAGTCAAAAGACCTCTACAAGGAAAACTATAAAACACTGCTGAAAGAAATCATGATCGACACAAACAAATGGAAACACATCCCATGCTCATGGATGAGTAGAATCAATATTGTGAAAATGACCATACTACCATACTGCCAAAACCAATCTAAAAATTCAACACAATCCCCATCAACATACCACCATCATTCTTCAAAGAGTTAGAAAAAACAATTCTAAAATTCATATGGAACCAAAAAAGAGCCTGCATAGCCAAAGCAAGACTAAGTAAAAATAACGAATCTGGAGGCATCACACTACCTGATTTCAAACTGTGCTATAAGGCCATAGTCACCAAAACAGCGTGGTACTGGTATAAAAATAGGCATATAGACCAATAGAACAGAACAGAGAACCCAGAAATAAACTCAAATACTTACAGCCAACTGATCTTCAAAAAAGCAAACAAAAACATAAAGTGGGAAAAGGACACCCTTTTCAACAAATGGTTCTGGGATAATTGGCTAGCCACATGTAGGAGAATGAAACTAGATCCTCATCTCTCACCTTATACAAAAATCAACTCAAGATGGATTAAAGACTTAAACCTAAGACCTGCAACTATGAAAATTCTAGAAGGTAACATTGGAAAAACCCTCCTAGACATTGATTTAGGCAAGGATTTTATGACCAAGAACCCAAAAGCAAATGCAATAAAAACAAAGAGAAATAGCTGGGACCTAATTAAACTAAAGACCTTTTTCACGGCAAAAGGAACAGTCATCAGAGTAAACAGACAACCCACAGAGTGGGAAAAAATCTTCACAATCTATAGATCTGACAAAGGACTAATATCCAGAATCTACAACGAACTCAAACAAATCAGTAAGGAAAAAATGAACAACCCAATCAAAAAGTGGTCTAAGGACATGAATAGACAATTCTCAAAAGAATATATACAAATGGCCAACAAACATATGAAAAAATGCTCAACATAACTAATGATCAGGGAAATGCAAATCAAAACCACAATGTGATACCACCTTATTCCTGCAAGAATGGTCGTAATCAAAAAATCAAAAAACAGTAGATATTGGTATGGATGCAGTGAACAGAGAACACTTCTACACTGCTGGTAGGAATGTAAACTAGTACAGCTGCTATGGAAAACAGTCTGGAGATTCCTTAAAGAACAATTTGATCCAGCAATCCCACTACTGGTTATCTACCCAGAGGAAAAGAAGTCATTATTTGAAAAAGATACTTGCACATGCATGTTTATAGTGGCACAATTCACAATAGCAAAATCATGGAACCAACCCAAATGCCCATCAATCAACAAGTGGGTAAAGAAACTGTGATTTTATATATATAAACTGTGGTTATTTACATATATATATAAACTGTGATTATACATATATATTATATATAAATATATACATATATATATATATATATATATATATGATGGAATACTATGCAGCCATAAAAAGGAATGAATTAACAGCATTTGCAGTGATCTGGATGACATCGGAGACTATTATTTCAAGTGAAGTAACTCAGGAATGGAAAACCAAACATCGTATGTCCTCACTGATATGTGGGAGCTCAACTATGAGGATGCAAAGGCATAAGAATGATACAAGGGACTTTGGGGACTTGGGGGAGGAAGAGTGGGACGGAGCAAGGGATAAAAGACTAAAAATGTGGTGCAGTGTATACTGCTTAGGTGATGGGTGCACCAAAATCTCACAAATCACCATTAAAGAACTTACTCATATAACCAAATACCACCTGTACCCCAATAGCTTATGGGAAATAAGTTTGCACTCTTGTTTCCACATATTTTTTAGTCTCCCCAAATTTCTTGCTATCACTGATATCTAATTTTCTTCCATTTTTATTGGATAACTTAATTTGTATTATACAATTTTTTCATTTATTGAAAACAATAACAACAACAAAGAACACAGTGAGGTAACAGACCATGCTTCCCTTCTTTGTGGTCCAGCCAATGAGTCAGACTTGATTCTAGAGAATGGGAGAAGACTTAAGCTGGGTGCAATATTGAATTGTTTACATTTATTTGGGCTAAACCTATTTAAAGGTCACATTGAGGCTTAGTTGCCAAGGTAAGACTGTTCTTACAATGACCAGAAAGCCATGGTGTCTGTTGACAGTGTGACCCTTTAGTGCAGACAGAGACTTTAACCGCATGGTCCAAGGCACTTAGTGTAGATTATTACGTGCATTTCTTGTTTACATCGCCATTGAGTTTAGCCATTCTGCTATCCAATTATACATGTGTTAAACTTATGTTATTTTTAACTCATAAAGAACAAATTATCAGAAGCCTCATTACAAAGCAATTCTCAGGGGTGACGTTATAAAATTAAGGCATGGGTAAAAGTGTTATATCAATATACTTTCATAGAACATCAATACTAGTTACCTTCTCCTTCTAGATGTGGGCATCTGAGCTTGACCATAGTGATTGAGGATGACAGAGCTTTCTGAAGTTTTCTAGGCAGCATAGGCTTCTAAGAATATGTATGAATCAAGAGCAGGGAAAGAGTACCTCAAAATATGACTAACTTAAGAGGATAGGATCCAATACAAAATGTGTTTGATTTCTATAATGAAAATAAGCAACATATATGCATATTTTAAGCACAATGTTTTATGATGCTCTTTTCTACAGTTATATGAATTCAGTGGAATGCAAATATTTGACCACAAAACAAGTTCTGCTTTTATGATTTTCTTAGGATAGAATCTAGAATTGGAAATAATAGGCAAACTGTTGTAAATAATGCTAAGCATCTTAATGTATATTGCTAGATTATTTTCTAAAGCTCAAAAGGAATTATAACCTCTTAGCATGTATTGAGTATTGACAACCTTTTCAAAATTGCTAACTTACTAAACAAGAGTATCTTATTAAACTTTGCACTTATTTATTCTACTGTCCTTGAATGGTTCATTGTCCTCATTACCATTTGTATTTATTGATACATTATTGTGATGTATCTATTTACATATTTTGCCCTTTTATGCTGTCAGGTTTTAGTGTCATTTTTTTCTATTACTGATAAATTTAAAGGTACTTAAGATTTCTGTTAAATGTGGTTAATATAGTTGTATCAAAAGATGTTTCATTAATTTTTTATGCAATAGTCACATAAGTTCAATTAATAAAGAAGCTTCATCCATTCATGTATTCAATAAACTTAATCATTCGTCAACTCTAGTGCTACGTAAAACAAGGAGCCATTCCCCAAGATGCTTATCAGAGAGAAGAGTTTGGCAAGTACCATAAAAGCAACCCAGGTTACATGTAGTAGTTTATATTAGTCTGCTTGGGCTGCCATAACAAATCCCTCAGACTGAATGGTTTATGTAATAAAAACTGAAATTTATATTCTCACAGTTCTGGAGACTGGAAAACCAAATTCAAGGTGATGGCAGGGTTGGTATCCAGTGAAAGTTCTTCCTTTGTGTGGCAGATAGCCACCTCCTCACTAAGTACCCATAAGACCTTTCCTAGGGTTATGCATACACAGGGAGAAAAAGAGAGAGAGAGAGAGAGCTCTGATGTCTCTTACAAGGATAATACTCCTATCAGATTAGGGCCCCACCCTTATGAAATAATTTACTTTTTTCCTCTGAATACAGCTGCACTTGGAGTTAGGGGTTTCAACACAGAAATTTGAGGTAGAGGGGAAGCACAGACATTCAGCCCATAACATACTTTGAGTTATTCTATCTTGGAGATGGTAAGAAAAATAGGAAATGTACTCATTTATTCATTCAGTGAACATTTATTGAGTGCCTAGTTCATACCTGGCACAATGCTTAATGTTAGTAATAGTAGCTATTTTCCTGGAGGAGATAATAATCAAATGAAGAAAAAGAAGATATAAATCACAATGCAGTTTGCTATAATATATCCACCACAAAGACTCTGAAAACACAAAAGAGGGAACAGATAAATATGTCTGTGGGAGTTGGGAAAGATAACACAGAAAAGCAAACATTTATTTGGGTCTTAAATGTTGGGTAGGATTGTGTAATGCAAAGAGAAAAAACAGTTGTATCATGATCATGACGAGAATGGTTGCTCAGGCAATGTTTTGTGTTTGAGTCTTCACTTCTGAGTTGCAGATTTTTCTAAGAGTACTTTCTGAGTGGTGTGTTTGGAGCTTTGGATATACGTCTCACTCTGTCCTCACCTTCCTCTCACTAAAATTCTGAGAGTAAAAGAATGGAAAGTAAGGGAAATCTGGCTATTGTTCTTGTCTTTCAAAGTTGGTGTTATCTGCAGTGCCCTCAAGCAAAACATTTCACTGTCATGTCATTTGGATATTGGTTTCAAGAAAAAGCACCTTTCACAGTGGTTAGGTTCTAAAGTCAACGTAGACATAAAGTGTGCTTATGATGGAAGCACACAAATCCTAACCAGCCATATAACTTTGTCTATGTCAAGAAACAATGTTTATCCTCCACTTGAATAACTCTTTCCATAAAAGGTGAATATCTAGATTTAGATAGCCTAATAAGATTACTTTCGGTCCCTTCCAAGATGGCCTAATAGGAACAGCTCCGGCCTGCAGTTCCCAGCATGATCAACACAGAAGATGGGTGATTTCTGCATTTTCAACTGAGGTACCTGGCTTATCTCATTGGGACTGGTTGGACAGTGGGTGCAGCCCACAGAGGGCTAGACAAAGCAGGGTGGGGTGTCGCCTCACCTGGGAAGTTCAAGGGGTCAGGGGATTTCCATTTCCTAGCCAAGGGAAGTCATGACAGGCTGTACCTGGAAAAATGGGACATGTCCACCCAAATGCTGCACTTTTCCCACAGTCTTAGCAACTGGCAGACCGGGAGATTCTCTCCCATGCCTAGGTGGCAGGTCCAACGCCCATGGAGCCTTGCTCACTGCTAGCACAGCAGTCTAAGATCGACCTGTGAGGCTGCAGCCTGGTGGGGGGAAGGGCATCCACCATTGCTAAGGCTTAAGAAGGTAAAGAAAGCAGCCAGGAAGCTCAAACTGGGCAGAGCCCACCACAGCTCAGTAAGGCCTACTGCCTCTATAGACTCCACCTCTGGGGGTAAGGCATAGCTGAACAGCAATATTTGCTATTCAGCAATATTTGCTGTTCTGCAGCCTCCACTGGTGATACCCAGGCAAACAGGGACTGGAGTGGACCTCCAGCAAACTCCAACAGACTAGCAGCTGAGGGAACTGACTGTATGAAGGAAAACTAACAAACAGAAAGGAATCGCATCAACATCAAAAAAAGAACATCCACACCAAAACCCCATCTCTAGGTCACCAATGTCAAAGACCAAAGTAGATAAAACCACAAAGATGGGGAGAAACCAGAGCAGAAAAGCTGAAAATTCTAAAAATTGGAGTGCCTCTTCTCCTCCAAAGGATCACAGCTCCTTGCCAGCTATGGAACAAAGCTGGATGGAGAATGACTTTGATGAGTTCACAGAAGTAGGCTTCAGAAGGTCGGTAATAACAAACTTCTCTGAGCTAAAGGAGCATGTTCTAACCTATTGTAAGGAAGCTAAAAACGTTGAAAAAAGGTTAGACAAATAATAGCTAACTAGAATAAACAGTGTAAAGATGACCTTAAATAACCTGATGGATCTGAAAAACGTAGCACAGAACTTCGTGACACATGCACAAGATTCAATAGCAAATTCAATCAAGTGGAAGAAAGGATATCAGTGATTGAAGACCAAATTAATGAAATAATGCCAGAAGATATGATTAGAGAAAAAAGAGTAAAAAGAAATGAACAAAGACTCCAAGAAGTATGAGACTATGTGAAAAGACAAAAATCTACATTTGATTGATATACCTGAAAGTGTTGGGGAGAATGGAATCAAGTTGGAAAAGACTCTTCGGGATATTATCCACAAGAACTTCCCTAACCTAGCATGGCAGGCCAACATTCAAATTCAGGAAATACAGAGAACACCACAAAGATGCTCGTTGAGAAGAGCAACCCCAAGACACATAATCATCAGATTCACCAAGGTTGAAATGAAGGAAAAAATTTTGAGGGCAGCCAGAGAGAGATTGGGTTACCTACAAGGGTAAGCCCATCAGACTAACAGCGGATCTCTCAGCAGAAACCCTACAAGCCAGAAGAGAGTGGGGGCCAATATTCAACATTCTTAAAGAAAAGAATTTTGAATCTAGAATTTCATATCCAGCCAAACTAAGCATCAAAAGTGAAGGAGAAATAAAACCCTTTACAGACAAGAAAATGTGGGGATATTTTGTCACCAAGAGGCCTGCCTTACAAGAGCTCCTGAAGGAGGCACTAAACTTGGAAAGGAACAACCAGTACCAGCCACTGCAAAAACATGCCAAATTGTAAAGGCCATTGATGCTATGAAGAAACTGCATCAATTAATGGGCAAAATAACCAGATAACATAATAATGACAGGATCAAATTCACACATAACAATATTAACCTTAAATGTAAATGGGCTAAATGCCCCAATTAAAAGACACAGACTGGCAAATTGGATAAAGAGTCAAGACCCATCAGTGTGCTGTATTCAGGAGACCCATCTCATGTGCAAAGACACACATAGGCTCAAAATAAAGGGATGGAGGGAGATCTACCAAGCAAATGGAAAGCAAAAAAAAAAAAAGCAAGGGTTGCAATCTTAGTCTCTGATAAAACAGACTTTAAACCAACAAAGATCAAAAAAGACAAGGCCATTACATAATGGTAAAGACATCAATTCAACAAGAAGAGCTAACTATCCTAAATATATATGCACCCAATACAGGAGCGCCCAGATTCATAAAGCAAGTCCTTAGAGACCTAAAAAGAGACTTAGATTCCCACACAATAATAATGGGAGACTTTAACACCCCACTGTCAATATTAGTTCAATGAGACAGAAGGTTAACAAGGATATCTAGGACTTGAACTCAGCTCTGCACCAAGTGGAATGAATAGATATCTACAGAATTCTCCACCCCAAATCAAAAGAATATACATTCTTCTCAGCACCACATCTCACTTATTCTAAAATTGACCACGTAATTGGAAGTAAAGCACTCCTCAGCAAATGTAAAAAAACAGAAATCACAACAAACTGTCTCTCAGACCACAGTGCCATCAAATTAGAACTCAGGATTAAGAAACTCACCCAAAACCACACAACTACATGGAAACTGAACAACCTGCTCCAGAATGACTACTGGGTAAGTAACGAAATGAAGGCAGAAATAAAGATGTTCTTCGAAACCAATGAGAACAAAGACACAATGTACCAGAATCTCTGGGACACATTTAAAGCAGTGTGTAGAGGAAAATTTATAGCACTAAATGCCCACAGGAGAAAACAGGAAAGATCTAAAATTGACACCCTAACATCACAGTTAAAAGAACTAGAGAAGCAAGAGCAAATGAATTCAAAAGCTAGCAGAAGGCAAGAAATAACTAAAATCAGAGCAGAACTGAAGGAAACAGAGACATAAAAAACCCTTCAAAAAATCAGTGAATCCAGGAGCTGTTTTTTTGAAAAGATCAACAAAATTGATAGACTGCTAGCAAGATTAATAAAGAAGAAAAGAGAGAAGAATAAAATAGACACAATAAAAAATGATAAAGGGGATATCACCACTGATCCCACAGAAATACAAACTACCATCAGAGAATACTATAAACACCTCTATGCAAATAAACTAGAAACCCTAGAAGAAATGGATAAATTCCTGGACACATACACCCTCCCAAGACTAAACCAGGAAGAAGTTGAATCTCTGAATAGAACAATAACAGGCTCTGAAATTGAGGCAATAATTAATAGACTACCAACTAAAAAAGTCCAGGACCAGACAGATTCACAATCAAATTCTTCCAGAGGTACAAAGAGGAGGTGGTACCATTCCTTCTGAAACTATTCCAATCAATAGAAAAAGAGGTAATCCTCCCTAACTCATTTTATGAGGCTAGCATCATCCTGATACCAAAGCCTGGCAGAGACACAACAAAAAAAGAGAATTTTAGACCAATATCCCTGATGAACATTGATGCAAATATCCTCTATAAAATACTGGCAAACCAAATCCAGCAGCACATCCAAAAGCTTATCAACCACAATCAAGTCAGCTTCATTCCTGGAATGCAAGGCTGGTTCAACATAGGCAAATCAGTAAACACAATCCATCAGATAAACAGAACCAACAAGAAAAACTACTTAATTATCTCAATAGATGTAGAAAATGCCTTCGACAAAATTTAACAGTCCTTCATGTTAAAAACTCTCAATAAACTAAGTATTAATGGAACGTATCTCAAAATAATAAGAGTTATTTATAACAAACCCACAGCCAATATCATAATGAATAGGCAAAAACTGGAAGCACTCCCTTTGAAAACTGGCACAGGACGAGGATGCCCTCTCTCAGCACTCCTATTCAAGATAGTGTTGGAAGTTCTGTCCAGGGCAATCAGGCAAGTGAAAGAAACAGGTCAATTAGGAAAAGAGGAAGTCAAATTGTCTCTGTTTGCAGATGACATGATTGTATATTTAGAAAACCCCATCGTCTCAGCCCAAAATCTCCTTAAGCTGATAAGCAACTTCAGCAAAGTCTCAAGATACAAAATCAATATGCAAAAATCACAAGCATTCCTATACGCCAATAACAGACAAACAGAGAGCCAAATCATGAGCAAACTCCCATTCACAACTGCTACAGAGAGAATAAAATACCTAGGAATCCAACTTACAAGAGATGTGAAGGGCCTCTTCAAGGAGAACTACAAGCCACTGCTCAAAGAAATAAAAGAGGACACAAACAAATGGAAGAACATTCCACACTCATGGTAGGAAGAATCAGTATCGTGAAAATGGCCATACTGCCCAACATAATTTATAGATTCAATGCCATCCCCATCGAGCTACCAATGACTTGCTTCACAAAATTGGCAAAAACTACTTCAAAGTTCATATGGAATCAAAAAAGAGCCCACATACCCAAGACAATCCTAAGCAAAAAGAACAAAGCTGGAGGCATCATACGACCTGTCTTCAAACTATACTACAAGGCTACAGTAACCAAAACAGCATGATAATGTTACCAAAACAGATATATATAGACCAGTGGAACAGAACAGAGACCTCAGAAATACCACACATCTACAACCATCTGATCTTTGACAAACCTGACAAAAACAAGAAATGGTGAAAGGATTCCCTATTTAATAAATGGTGCTTGGAAAACTGGCTAACCATATGTAGAAAGCTGAAACTGCATCCCTTCCTTACACCTTATACAAAAATTAATTCAAGATGGATTAAAGACTTAAATGTTAGACCTAAAACCATAAAAAGCCTGGAAGAAAACCTAGGCAATATCATTCAGGACATAGGCATGGGCAATGACTTCATGACTAAAACACCAAAGCAATGGCAACAAAAGCCAAAATAGACAAATGAGATCTAATTAAACTAAAGAGCTTCTGCACAGCAAAAGAAACTATTATCAGAGTGAACAGGCAACCTACAGAATGGGAGAAAATTTTTGCAATCTACCCATCTGACAAAGGGCTAATATCCAGAATCTACAAAGAACTTAAATAAATATACAAGAAAAAAAAATCCAAAAGTGGGCAAAGGATACGAACAGACACTTCTCAAAAGCAGACATTTATGCAGCCAGCAGACATGTGAAAAAATGTTCGTCATCACTGGTCATCAGAGAAATGCAAATCAAGACCACAATGAGATACTATCTTAGGCCAGTTAGAATGGTGATCACTAGAAAGTTAGGAAACAACAGATGCTGGAGAGGATGTGGAGAAATAGGAATGCTTTTACACTGTTATGGGAGTGTAAATTAGTTCAACCACTGTGGAAGACAGTGTGGCAATTCCTCTAGGATCTAGAGCTAGAAATACCATTTGACCCAGCTATCCCATTATTGGATATATACCCAAAGGATGGTAATTCATGCTACTATAAAGACACATACACATGTATGTTTATTGTGGCACTATTCAGAATAGCAAAGACTTGGAACCAACCCAAATGTCCAACATTGATAGACTGGATTAAGAAAATGTGGCATATATACACCATGGAATACTATGCAGCCATAAAAAAGGATGAATTCATGTCCTTTGCAGGGACATGGGTGAAGCTGGAAACCATCATTCTCAGCAAACTATCACAAGGACAGAAAACCAAACACTGCATATTCTCACTCATAGGTGGGGACGGAACAATAAGAACACTTGAACACAGGGCGGGGAACATCACACACTGGGGCCTGTTGTGGGATGGGGGGCTGGGGGAGGGATAGCATTAGGAGAAATACCTAATGTAAATGACGAGTTGATGGGTGCACCAAACCAACATGGCCCATGTATAACTATGTAACAAACTTGCACGTTGTGCACATGTACCCTAGAACTTAAAGTATAATAAAAAAAAATTACTAGCTACTTAATACATTGAGATTCTGATAATGATGTCTTTTTACTATTCTGAAAAAAAGATTACTTTCATTGTTATGTTGAAATATACGTACCAATTATAAACATAATCTCAAAGACTCAAATTTTAATTTTTTCTTACAGTATGCTAGAGAACATTAGTAAGAATTATTTGGTTATGCTCAATTAACAAAGAGAACCATAGCATTTGAATATTATTGACGAGAAAAAAAATCTAAGAATCATATTTGAATACTAAGTCCTTGGCAGTATTTTCAGTGCCTTACAAGGAACATTTCAGGGCATCCTCAAACAACCGCATGAGGTGGGCATTGTTGTTATCATCTCCATTTTTCCTATAAGGCGTAGAGAGGTGAACTAATTTGCCCAAGCTCACACAATAGAATGCAGAGCTAGGAATTCATCCTGATAGTCTGACTACAGAATGTCTGGTCCTAAATGCTGAAATACACTGTCAAACAAAAGGAAAGAACTGCTGATCAGTAACGCAGGGAAAGAATTTGATTAAAAAGCAAAGGTAAAAGCAAAATTTTACCTGTGATAAAATAATTACTCCCTTATTGTCTTCTACAACCTTACCTTCTAATTTCTCAGATTGCATCAGAGTTATTATAATTACTAGTAACAACCACTCCCCCACCAAAAAAAAAAAAAATGCAGTACCACATGTCTGTGGTCTATTTAGGAATGTAAAGAAAGGACAAGCCTAGCAGCAAAGCAGAAAGAAAATAATTTTTACATATTTTTACATATTATTAAAAATCAGCCTTGTATTTCCCTCTTATAAGTAGCATCCCAAAGACCTACAGTGTCTACTGTGTTAAGTGTGGGTTCAAGAGATTAAGGGCACTGATGGGCCTCTGGTTCACTGTTATTTCCTTCTCATTGCAACCTCACATCGCTATACATCTGTTTTGTTGATTCAGAAGAGCACTTGAAATGCTTTACAGTTGATTTTGACAAGTGCTACAATTTGATAGGGAAAGATAATTCTTGCTGAGATGATATTCAAAGTACAGAAATTATACTTTTGAGTAGATATTACCTTTCTTTATGATCAGGATTTTCATTTAATATACAGCACACTTAAGCTTGGTAATCACATTTTCCTTTTTCTGAAAAAAGTGATGGGTGTCTTTGATCTCATATATTAGGGCATTACACATTAAAATCTTATTCCAAATTCTGATTGTTTTCTTTGTTGCAGATGAAGCATGTCTGCCAAATTTAAGGATATCAGATTTATAAAATGCTATATGAATATGAAGTGGGATTATTACTTAAATGAGAGACTCCTGATCACACGATTGGGCTGATTGATGAGTTCCTGGGATGTATATTTTCTGCATGCCTCTAAATCCACTAAACTGAAAATTAATCAGTAGTGTCTTAAAGACTACAGACTTATTACTGACAGAATAATCACTTTTAAGAAATAAAATACATGAGTGTGATTTTAATTTATATTTTAAAATATTCCTTTATCATATAGACTTTCCCATTAGTTTAATTATAAGAGAATATTTTAATATTTGATATTCGAGAAAATTCTTAATGAAAAATTATCATTGCTTTGCTTTGTTTCACTAATGCTATGTCAGAGGTTGACACAATTTTAAAGAAAATCAAGGTTTAAAGCTTATCTAATGCCAACTCAAGATTATAACTGGCTAGGGGCAGTGACTCATGCCTGTAATTCCAGCAATTTGGGAGGCCGAGGCGGGCGTCTCATGAGGTCAGGAGATCGAGACCATCCTGGCCAACATGGTGAAACCCCGTCTCTACTAAAAACACAAAAAATTAGCTGGGTGTGGTGGCGCATGCCTGTAATCCCAGCTACTCAGGAGGCTGAGGCACAAGAACAGCTTGAACCCAGGAGGCTGAGGTTGCAGTGAGCTAAGATCGTGCCACTGCACTCCAGCCTGGCAACAGAGTGAGACTCCATCTCAAAACAAACAACAATAAACAAACAAACAAACAAAAGACTCTAACTTGGTTTAAAGCAGGCTGAATGGTTCAGTGCTTTGAGATCTCAGCCCTGTTTGCAAGGTTCATCTCAACATAACATCCTAAGTAGTTAAAGCCTTTATTATTGATATGATGGAAACTAAAACTTGATCCATGCCTCCATGTTAGAAAATAATTTCTAAGTATTCCATCCACTTTTGTAGAAGTTTCTACATTATTTACAAAGATAAATGGAAATACCTTGTTAATGTGGGATAGGCTTCACAGTAACATTGAAGATGCTATATACCGCTGCCAAACAGTACTGGTGTCAGTACTTCAATACAGTTAAACAGCATCTCAGAATTCTTATTCTGCTACTTGGGTTCATGTTGTCAATGTGGTTTTTCCTAATCACTATCCAAATTCTAGGTCCAACAAATAATTCCACCCGGAATTTCTAAAGTGGGTGTCCTCAGCCACTTTAATCAAATATATTAAATGTATTTAATATACATTATTAAATCTTGTTTCTTAAAATACAGTTAAGAAGAAAGACTTGAGTTTGTACTTTTTTTCTACTATTTCTCAACTAAGGAATATTGAGAAATTCTTTACCTGTCTAAGCCACAGACTCCAAATTGTCACACTGAATGTCCAGGGCATATTATTTTCCTAACAAAAATTCTGAGAAGATAAAATAAAATAATGAATGAAAAGCTATAGCCCAGTGCTTGGTGAATAGAAAAATTCTCAAAAACTGATGACTGTGATTAATGCTTTTTTCATCACTGATGCCACTTTCCTAGTTAATACTCCATGCCAGGTTTACTACAACAAATATATATCCTAATGCTTTATTCTTCCATTTCCACCCATTTCAGTTCTGTTATGCAATTACTCTATTTCTTATAAAATATTGCTTTCATTTTGTAACTTCTCTGTTAAAAATAGGCTGTAGTTCATAAGAAAATCCCTAGACTTCTAAGATTTCTATTAGCTGGCTTCAAACCTTTCATAGCCTATGCTTCTATTATTCCCATGTAGATACCTGTTCTCTATTCTCACTGGATTACCTTTAGGTTGCTAATTTCACCTCACATTTTCACACTTGTGTACCCCTTCACCTGTATAGGGAGGTAAATACAATAATCAATTAACTGCAGGAATTTTTGAAACTTTTTTACATGATAGAATTTTAGCGTGTTCTCTGACTGATTTTGAGCATACCTATGATTAAGCCTCAACTATCTAGATAAAAAGAAACAAGAACTATCAAAACTAATTTAATTTGTCATTAACTGTGACTGGACTCAAACCTATTGGTTTCTACCCATGTTATGGGTATGTATGGGTATTTGTATATTTATTTCAAAATATGTATGTATTTTTTTTTCATTTTGGTTAAGAGCAGCAATTTAACTTCATATGACTTTCCCCTCAATGATTAACAAGAGTTCACCTTCTCAAAATCATTGTTATAGAAAAGGCTGTAGAAAAGTGGCTGAATATATACTGATCACAGACTGAACCTTCTAAATTTAACAATGGAGTCAGTCCTTATTTTCAGCTTATTTAACTGTGATCCTCCCATTTGATTGAAAAAGGGAGAGATGAAGAGGGAGAGAGGTGAATCTTTCCATGTCCCTCTTCAATACAGAAGTGAGTATAACAGAATAGCTCATCCAAGTCAGAGAGGCGACAAGAAAATTATGTTAGATAGAATTAGATCATTCCTCACTAAGAAGCTTTTCTTTTTCTCCTTCTATATTTTGAAAAAAAGTTTTACTGAGGTGTAATTAACACACTATAAAATTCAGCTTAAGTGTACAGTTCAGGAAATGTTAGTAATTTCATACAGTCACACAACCATAACCACAATTTTTTTTAAAACACTTCCATTGTCCAAAGCAGGGGGCGCCAATCGGACCGTGGCCTGTTAGGAACTGGGCTGCATAATTACCACCTGAGCTCCGCCTCCTGTCAAATCAGCGAGGGCATTATTAGATTCTTATAGGAGCGTGAACCCTGTTGTGAACTGCACATGCGAGGGATCCAGGTTGCACGCTCCTTTTGAGAATCAGTTCAATGCCTGATGATCTGAGATGAAACAGTTTCTTCCCGAACCGTCCCCCTACCACTGCTGCCCCTATCCATGGAAAAATTGTCTTCCATAAATCCAGTCCCTGATGCCAAGAAGTTGGAAACCACTGGTCCAAAGCACTTCCCCACATAACCAATTACAGTCAGCTCCCCATCCCACCCCATTCCCAGGAAACCACCAATCTGTATTCTACATCTGTAACTTTGCCTTTTCTAGAAATTTCATGTAAATATAATAATATAAATATGTATTATTTATGTCTGACTTTTTTTCACTCAGCATTAAATTATTAAAGATCATCTATGTTTCTTCATTTATCAGTAATTGATTCCTTTTAATTGCTGAGTAGTGTGTCATTATATGGAAATGTCACAAATTGTTTAGCCATTCACCAGTTGATGTTCATTTAGATTTTTCTAGTTTATGTTGAATAAGAATGAAGGTGCTAAGACACATACATACATGTCTTTATGTGGACATATATTTTCACTCCTTTTGGGTAACTACCTAAGAGTGAAATTTTTGGGTCCTATGGTATGTGTATGTTTAACGTCATAATAAGTGACCGTGCTCTTTTCCAAAGTTGTGTACCATTTTGATTTCCCACCAACAATGTATGAATGTCTCAGTTTCTCTGTATCTTCAAAAATAATAGTATCTTTTTTTATGACAGCAATTCCATTGGGAATGTTGTATTATCTCATTGTGGTTTAATTTGTAGTTCCCTATCAGATAATATATTAAGAATCTCACAATTGTTTCTTATTCACATATAATCTTTGGTGTCTATTCATAGCCTTTACCAACTATGAAAATTGAGTGGTCTTTTTATTTAAGTTGCAAAATTTTTCATATATTCTGCATAGAAGTGCTTAACAGATACATGATTTAGAAATATTTCCTTTCGGTCTGTGGCTTGTCCTTTCACTTTATTAATGACCATCTTGGAGATAAATGTTTTACATTTTGATGAACTCGAAGGTATATACTTATTTCCTCTTATGAACCATGGGGATAGAGTGTTCTATCAAGTTGATAGTGTTGTTCAAATCTATATTCTTCTTTTCTGTTTAGTGATTAAACAGAAAATAGTATAGTCTTAGTTATTACTGAGAAGTGAACATTAAAATCTTCATGTATAATTGTTTAATTATTTGGTTTTTACATTATGTAAGTTTTTTATGTATTTTAGGGCACTGTTATAATGTGCATACACATTTATGATTATTATATCTTCTTCATGTATTGACACTTTGTTTTTTTTGTTTTTGTTTTTGAGATGGAGTCTTGCTCTGTCACCCAGGCTGGAGTGCAGTGGTACGATCTCAGCTCACTGCAACCTCTGCCTTCCAGGTTCAAGTGATTCTTCTGCCTCAGCCTCCTAAGTAGCTGCGACTACAGGCATGCACCACCATACCCAGCTGGTTTTTGTATTTTTCGCAGAGACAGGGTTTCAACATATTGGCCAGGCTGGTTTCGAACTCCTGACCTTGTGATCCACCCACCTCGCCTCCCAAAGTGCTGGGATTACAGGCATAAGTCGGCCCGTATTGACACTTTTATCATTACAAAACATCCGTCTTTCTCTCCAATATTAATTCTGTATTAAAATTTACTTTATCTGATATTAGTATGGCCACTTCAGCTCTCTTACAATCATTGTTTGCAGAGTATACCTTTTACTTTCAACTTAATTGTGTGTGAAACTATACCATTTTGTAGGGAGCAAAATAGCTGGATCTTGCTTTTTAGTTCAATATTGCAATTTCTGACATTTGATTCTTTATTTAGCTTTTGTTTTGAAGTTTTCACTAAGTATATCATTCCAGATTGACCTTTTTTATTCTTTCAGTACTTTCAAAAATGTCACTTCATTGTTCTTTCAGTTAGCAATTTCTGACGTGAAGTCTGATGTAATTCTGTTCTCTTTCTCTGTGTTGTGTCACTTTTACTTTGGCAGGCTTTATAATTTTCTGTACTTTGCTTTGACAGTTTGAATATTATGTGCCTAAACAGGTGTCTTTACTGTATGGTGTGTGTGTGTGATCACATTTATCCTGCTATACATGCTCAAGTTTTTGCAAGCAATTTGATGTCTTTCATTATTTCGGGGAGATTCTTAGTCACTGTCATTTCAAGGAATTGTTCTTCTCTGACATTCTCTTTCCCTCTTCTCTCTCCCCACCCACCTCTCTGGCTTAAACATTCTGCTGTGTTCAAGAAATTTCTAGATGAGAAGTAGAGTTGTGTGCCGAAGGGCACATGATCCTTTCTCATTGGCTTCAATACCAAGGGAAACTTTCTCTAGTCTCCTTCCCCAATGCCAGTTTTTCCCATGAGCACCTGGCAGAGGTCATGAAAAAGAGTCTGTGAGTGTGTACAAAATCTCATTTTGTCTGGGTCTTCCCGGGTTTCTACACTGTCACTCTATCCCACACTCAGCCTTTAGAAATGTGTTAACAGTTTAGCTGATTTCTTCTTAGCCACTGTACGGCAGCCAGCACAGTTCTTTCTATACTCTGACAAAGGTGAAACCATCTGTACATCCCCTCACTTCTTACAGGGGTCTATACTTCCTTGAATTTCTGTCTATTAAGTTTCCCTGTCATTCAGATCTCTGACAGGTTTAAAAAAATTATGCTTTGTGGTTTATCTAGCTTTTTTCATTGTTGGGGGTAGATGTGGACTTCTTTCCAACTTTACCATATCCTAGGAAGAAGCAGAACCCCAAACATGTGCTTTCAGTGGAGGATGCCCATCAGAAGACCCTGCTCTCTGGTGCAAGACCAATCAGAAAAGATGGAGGTTAGGCACCCTAAATAAAAACAGTGTAAGATGTGAGACCAGGATCTGTTGCCAGCTATGTTTCTTGCTGAATGAAAAAAATATAAATATATGAAATAAAGCTGATATGAAGACAGAAATAACAATACTGGGAGTGTGGGCTATAGTTCAGGACTGGGATTAATTTGCCTCTGGTGCTAACTGGTCAAATTATCATCTTTCTTAAAATCCTTAAATAGTTCCTCATCTTAGAAGAGTAAGTTTATCTCTTTTCATGGCATACAAGAGCATTGTTATTTGACCTTGACCTACTTCTCTATGCTCATTTTCTTTTTGTGCAACTCAATGTGCATTTTTTCAAACGGCTATATTGGATTATTCTGGTAGCCTCCTAACCGTATTATTCACTTTCACCTTTCCTTTTCTACTGTATATTCTCATTAGAGAAGCCATGAAGATACTTTTCAATCCTAAATTAAATCATATCACTCCAAGGGTACAATAGCTTCCCATTTTACTAAGAGTAAAAGCCAAAGTTTGAACAATAACCTGTAAGGCCCTACATGATGTAGTTCCTGCTGGCCCTCTTGGCTCATTTTTTTCCATTCTTATCCTTGTTAATTCCACTTCTATGACACTGTTTTTGTTATCTTTTTAATGTATCAAAACTCGTTTTTGCCTCGGAAACTTTGCAGTTACTGTTCTTCCTGAAACACCTCCCACCATCACCACCACACACCATACACACCATAGCTGTTTGACACGTTTCCTCCCTTTCTTCAGCTATCTCCTCAAACACCCCTTTATCAGTTATACTTACTCCAGATGCAATCCTTCAAAATACCACCATTTTTTGTTCTTCCAGCCACAGTACTCTCTCTCTCCCTTTCATGTTTCTTTTCTCCATAGCACTTCTAATCTGACATACTATTTATTTTTATTTATTTATTTACTTTTTACTAAAGATAGATTTTCACCATGTTGGCCAGGCTTGTCTCAAGCTGTTGACCTCAAGTGATCCACCCTCCTCAGCCTCCCAAAATGCTAATCAGACATACTATTTCATTCGTTTGTTTATTATGTTCCTCCCCAACTATATAATAAGTTTGATGAAGATAGGGATTTTTTTGGTGATATCATTCATGTTTTATCTCCAAAAACTAAAAAGTTCCTAGTTCATAATACACATGCAATAAATATTTACAACTCTATTCTTTGCAACTTAACACATATAATTCCGTCTAACTAAAATGCTTTCTTATTGTTCCTTGGACAACTTGGAATTTATATTTCATAACCCAGATTAACCATGTTCTCTTCCTTGCAGTATAAATTTCCCTCTTTACAATAGTTTATTATTCTAAATAACAAATTCTAAATAAATTTTTTGCAGCTACAGTATCATGCACATACTTCATTATAACTATTCACCATCATGATTAGTTACACAAATATCTTCGCAGAAATTGTGTCTTCTTTGTATTTTCCAACAACTCAGCACTGGGACTTGGTAATTGTTTATTGAATTTAGTGAGTGAACTGAATTCATTTTTTTTTCCCAAATGAGCTTTCACCAGAACCAAGATACCTTTCATTCAAACTAATAAGAACCTTGAAGTCCTTCTCAATTCCCACACCAAATTCTGTTTGGTAGCTGTCTCGTTGATGACTATCTCAATGTCAATGCTTCATAGATATGTCAGTTTTGGTGCACACTTTTCTAAGTTGTATGCAAAAAATGATAACTGAATTATAGTCAAATCACACTTAATAGTGAAGGCTTTCTTCAGAAAGAGGTACTATAAATTATTAGGGCTTGTCAACACCTGACTATTGCTATATTTTCTGATTAACTCACATTTATGTCACCCATGTTTAAGCTCTGCTTCAGATAATTTAAAAATGCTTATTATGCCTTCCCTGCTCCTAGCTGTCTTTAGGTAAATGCCTATGCAGCAGCCATTAAACAGTTTAAAATGAAAACAACCTATATCGAAAATTAATATTTTACTCATGTGACTTAGTTCAGGCCAATATGATATGAGTGGAAATGTCATATACATCTCATTAAAGACAAAGACCTTTGCATTATACTTTCTCTTCTCCCTTCCTACTCACTAGAAATAAAAATCTGGAGGAAATAAGGAAGCATTATGATAAAGATGCCAGAGTGACTTACCAGCTTGGATCAATGGATGGCTTTTTGCAAGAGAGCTGCCTATCTACCTCAGGCTATTATACAGGAGAGAAAAATAAACTTCAATCTTGTTTGAACCAATACATTAGTGTTTTGTTGTTGTTACAGCAATTTGGTCTATACACTAACATACATGAAAATATAATCAAAGTCTTTGCTGGCTTCATACTGTTCTTAAAATAAAGGCTAAAATTTTTCACAAGGCCTCCAAGGTCCCGTGTGAAATGGTTTCTGCCTGACTTTCAAGCCTTATCTTGAGCTACTTTTCTTGTTGTTCGCCCTGTTCTAGTAGTTAAAAGCCTTTTATCAGTATCTGGCACATCACAATCTTTTCACCTGCTTTTCTTTTCTTGGAAGGTTCTTTCTTCCACCCAAGAATTTTTTCCCTGTGTATTCCTACTTATCATTTATATCTTACTTAGCTTAAACTTAATGTCCATATGGAAATGTCCCATCATGCCCACCCTAATATAGGTCAGATTCCTTTGTTATATACTTTAATAGCAACTAGCTCCTGTTCTTTCAAGCTCTTATCTCTGTAATTTTGCAATTGTGTGATTATTCAAATAATGATCTTCCATTAGGTTGTAAGCTATATGACAGCCAAGAACATTCTTGCTTTAGCTCATCACTGTAACACCAGACATAGTGCAATGCCTGGATTCTAACAGGTATGTGGTAAATAAGTTGAAGGAATGAGCAAGATCATATTAATTATTCCTTTCTGCACATAATCTTTTCTGCTGCTAATTCATTACACATGGTTTCCATCCTCCCTTGCACTGCTGCCCATCCCCTGGTCACTGCCCAGTACTATTTCCTTATTAAAAATAGACAGTATTAATAACAGGTATCAAATTGGATTTTGATACACTATCAGTGGTAAAAACCCAGGAGGCTAGAAATTACCTTTTCAAAATGAATATGCAAAATAAAAGTTTCAAAACAAACATAGGAAAGCCACTGGGGGAAAAATCTACCCAGTTGCCATGTATTCATTGCGAAACAGTATAAGATAAACTTGTAAGAAATTAACCTCTCTCATGTGTGGGTAAAGATATTGTTAGTCCTGGTGTTATAATTTTGCTCAGCATAAACAGTATGCCAAGTATTAGTTTACTCAATTAAGATTTTTCAAATTCATTTTCTTTTGGAAAATATTTTTAAAAGGTAAGAACCACCAGCCTCAGCATGCACTGACTTTGCTGTCTTTTAGAAATCTAGTAATTATGCTATATAATGTATCTAATCTCTTTTAGAACTTTGTTAGATATTATTCTTATATAAGTAGGGAAAAGCAATTGAAGTAACACCTACATAACTAAGAATGCCTAACTATTAAAAAATCACAATTTCTTTCACAATACATTTATTTTCTCAAGCATCAATACTCTTCAGTGTTTCTCTTTTGAAAATATTTTTAAAACATTAGTTTGGGTATATTATATTTTGTTAACTGACAAATCAACCAGCTCTATAGGGCATAGAAAATAGCAGAGGCATGCAATTTGTAAGTACAGTTTCCTTTCAATAATCCCTCTGTAGTTAGAAATATATGTACCAACATTTCTTTACTTAAATATAAAGTGTTTTATTTGTTTCTAGTCCACTGAGAATTGAAATAAAATTGGTTTACCACAGGTAATTGACATTTGAAGAATAAATCAGGAGAAATTTTCTAAGATCTCATTTGTATCTCAGAATGTATACCTTCTGGGACTTCAATAGAGTGGTAAATGTTTGAGTTTGGCCTCAGAGAAATTTGCCTGTGGCTTGTGTAAAAAGAAGGAAATATAAGCAGTCCTTTATAAAATTGTAAGATACATGTACCTTCTTACATACATTTGTTTGTATTTGTGTGTCTAATAATTGGATTTATTGCGAAAGTCACTGGAATTTAAAAATAATACCTCTTCTTTTCAGTAATAGTAGACATAAGCTGGTACCTGACAACATTGTTCTGCAAAGATTTATTTTAAACTTCTTACCTTCCAGGAGTAGGAGTATATATTATGTGTCTGAAAAAAAAAATTGGCCACCTAATATTTATGTAAAGTGAATAACCCCATCATTAATGAATAAATTACTATTCCTTTTCTTTTTAAGAATATCATAAATTAAATTAATTAAATATTTATCTTGATTACAAATTTTATTAAGTGAAAATTTTCTTTGGTAGAAAATGCAAGGTTTCTACAATCACCACATATACACAATATCTAAGAATTAAAATATACTAAGATACTGTATTATATAAAATAATCCCAACAAATTTGAAAACATAGATGAAGTAGATACATTATTAGAAAAATAAAATATTGACAAGAAAACTAGAAAACCTGAATAACATTATGATTTAATAATTAGATATCAAGTTAGTAGTTAAAAGTTCCGTTTCCTGTATCCTCCCCTAAGGTGTATATCTTATATGCACACACACACACACACACACACACACACACACACACAGGTCTAAACATACATACAAATAATAGATATTTCCTTATTTTCACATACCTAATAGAAAAAAGAAGAAACACTCTCCTCCCGTTTTATGATGCTTCCATTCCTTGGATAGTCAAATCAGACAAGGATAATACAAGTTAAAAAAGCTACAAGCCTATAACATTCATGAACATAGGTGCAAGATTCCTAGACAAAACACTACCAAATTGAATTGAGCAATGTACAAGCAAGATAATTGGCCAATTTAGGTTCAGTTAAAAAATGGAGGCCAGGCGCAGTGGCTCATGCCTGTAATCCTAACACTTTGGGAGGCTGAGATGGGTGGATTACTTGAGGTCAGGAGTTCAAGACCAGCCTGGCCAACATGGTGAAACTTTATTAAAAATACAAAAATTAGCTGGACGTGCTGGCACATGCCTGTAATCCCAACAACTTGGGAGGCTGAGGCAGGGGAATTGCTTGACCCCGGGAGGCAGAGGTTGCAGTGAGCCAAGATTGAACCCGGGCAACAGAGCAAGACTCTGTTTCAAAAAAAAAAAAAAAAAAAGGAATCTGGTTTCATATTAAAATTTCTTAAATGTTATTCTCCAGAGTTACAGTAAAAAATAAAACCACACGATATTTCAAATTTCAACAACAAATCCTGCTATATGTAAAACTTGATATTTGGCGCAACATAAGACAAACATTGCAGATCATTGGTGAAAGAATGAACTAGTTATAAAGTTGCCCATAAACTGGTGTATGTGTGTGTGTGTGTAAAATATTTCTGTCTCACACAGACATCAAAATACAAAACTAAATTCCAAGGGGATTGAAACCTTCTATAAATCCATGTGAGAATATCTTTATGTCTCTGGGGTAGGGAATGGTTTATTAAACATGATGTGAATATCACAAACCACACAGTAAGACTACAAATTCCTCTGGAGTTTAAAATAAATGTTTTAAAGAAAGGGAGAAGACAAGTATAAACCAGTTAAACATATTTGTGATACATAGTGATATAGAATTTGTATTCACATGATATGAAGAACTCCTAAAATCAGTAGAAACAGACCAATAATTATATAGATAAATAGGTAACAAAATGAATAGGTATTTCATATTGAGAAAATAGTAGTAGTATATCAACCTATGCAAAACCGCTCAATTTTATTACTGATATAGCAGTGCAAATTCAAACTATAATAAGATATCCCTGTATATCCATTCAATTGCCAAAACTGAGAAATCTGACAATCTCAGAGTTTCCGAAGATGTGAAGCAAAATAAATTTCATTTATTGCTGGTGAGAATGCAAATTGGTACATCCACTTTGGAAAAGTTTGGCAGTACCTATAAAGACAAATGTGCACATTTGTTCTGCCCTAGCAATTCTACTCTTATATTTGAAAGGGAAGTTTTAACAGCTGGACTGTAATTTCTTCTTCAATGTCAGATATGAGGTTTTGACTCTTATTGAAATCCCTTGCAACACTAGTGCAAGGAATGTATAAGAGTATACAAGGTCCAAGATAAACGAGAATCCCTCTGAGGGTGCTATGTACTGAGCCACATATGTGGTCATCAAGATTCTTCATTGAATGGCTGGCATGCAGCTGCACAAAAAGATGGAAGCCATCACAGATTCCTTAGGAGATTACATTGCTATCAAGGTATAAATATTGATAGGTCTCTAAACTGAATGGCTGTTGCTAACTAAGGTGGTCCACACACATTCAGCTGCATCTTCTGTGACTATGCTCTAGTACAAAGTGATTAGAGCACAGGAAGCAGCTTCTGAAAATTACGAGACCTCTGCTTTGCTGTTGCTATGCACGCATTGTTGGCTGCCCTTATCTTTTCTAAAAGCTACATTCAAACTTGCTGCTGGGTGAAGCTGATTGGTTTCATTTGTATGCTTGTCAATCCAAATCTAAGATTGGTGTTGCTGCAAAGAGAATGAGCATTACAATACTGTACAGAAACTATTGTATCCATCAAGACATGGGTACAAAATGTTTTAGTATCATTATTTATAATATCAAAAGAAAAATGAAAACTTCATCTCCAGGATTCAGGTGGCTCTCTTTTCTGGGAAAACCTAAGACAAAAGTCAATGGGATAAAATGTAATTCCGCTCACCGAAAATGGTCCCAGGCTACAAATGCAGCTGCACTTGTCCACTTACCGTCAAAATAGGACAGGAGAGTGCTAGAAGAGCCTCGCAGTGGGTCAATGGTCTTGAAGGACCAAATGTCCATCAAGAGAAGAAAGAATACATAAATTGTAGTATATGGATTCTTTGGATATTATACAGCAGTGAGAATTAACAGACTGTCATTAGATGATTCAAAATTGATGAATCTCAAGTATATAATATTGAATGAAAAAAGAAAGGCACAAAGAAATACAGACTGCAAGCATCCATCCATATAAAGTCCAAAATCATGCAAAGTTAAATAAGTTTTCATTTGGGAACACAGTAATTTGTTGTGTCTTGATTGGGTTTACAAGGAAACAAATTCTGAGGATAATACAAGCCAAAAGTTCACTGGAAAATAATTTCAGAAAAAAGTCTGTAAGGGAGTGAGGGAACCATGATTGGGAGCTCTAGAATTGGGGTGGCCATGGAGAGTGGACCCGAGTTGAAGGAGGTAGTTAATTAAGCCTTTATATCCCACATTAAATGGTATGGACCTTGGACAAGTGCTTCCTTTGGAGTGAAAATTGTGTGAGGCAGTGTCCATCAGCTAAGGGGAATTTCCAGGAAAGTCACATAGCTGTAAGCTATCAGTGGCCAGCATTACTCACAGAGGGAGGAATTAGTGTCTCAGCCTTGGAGAGGGATCTAGTGGACACATCAGAGCACTTGTTTTGTATTGTAAGTTTACCCCATCAGGAAGCCTCATCTCCAGGATTCAGGTGGCTCTCTTTTCTGGGAAAACCTAAGACAACAGTCGATGGGGTACAACGTAGTTCCGCTCACTGAAAATGGTCCCAGGCTACAAATGCTGCTGCACTTGTCCACTTACCATCAAAATAGGACAGGGGAGTGCTAAAGGAACCTTCCAGTGGGTCAACAGGGTAGCATATGTGTTCTTCCCTGCCTCTATCATGCAAAAGAAATCTGACATTTATCTATCGGGGATACCACACCATATGATTATCAATTAAGGGGTACACGACATTTTAGAGGATAAAACCCTTCCTCGCAGATATCATTTGCAAAACAGTACCTTTGCTTTCACTTCACAGGTAATACCATCATTCTGTCAGGTTGGCTGTATATAATAGGACCACTGCATCACATGGTTATTTACCCACTATTACACATTCTTTTGTATTAAGTGGATCCCTTAGTTCAAAGAGATTATGGAATCTCATGTCAGTGGTTCAAACAACCTGTGAGCCCTTATCTAATGCTGTTCACATTATGGGAAAGGCAACTCTATATGCAGAATATACATCAAGTTCACTCTAAATAAATCGCTGCACCTTCCAGTGTGGAAATGTATACCATTGTAATTAACTTGCCACAAGTGGCTTGCTGATTTTCTTGAGGAAACGTGCAACATCAGGGGCACAATATTGGAATTTATTTCTGTTAATAGGTTGAACATCCAGCAGCACGTGAAACTAGATCAGCCTTGGTAAGTGTGAGCCTATATTGTTGACCCCAAGTTCATCTTCCATACCTACTTCCATAGCTACCCCCCTATTGAGCCCTTTGTGCCAGCATTGAGTAATACCAATGGCAGAGGCTAGCTAATTTCAGCTGGCAAGTAATTTTGTCTACTTGATTGTTTAGTTATCTTCTGTGTGCTTACTTAGTACTTTGGCCTGCTTGTGCACAATCTCTAATATTCTATTTCCAACTTAATATTAATTGCTGATGGTCCTTATGATTTTGTGGATCCAACAGAACTGCAGTTTGTGAGGGACAGTTCTGGCTGCATTGATACCCTATGGCCAACTGCTCCAACCTTCCATGGCCCAATAACATTTCTAGAGATATTTTTCAAATGGTTTATAGTTTTCTGATGCAGACAGTTTGCCATTGTTCCAGATCCTATGGGTCTTCATTGTTATTCTCCTATTGGGATTTTTCCATAACGTCCACATGGCAACTTTTCCACCATAGATAACTTTAATAACACAAAGGTCATATGGTCCAAACATAAGGCTGCTTGCACCACAGCCTGGATATGCTGTAAGATACTTTCCTGCTCTAAGCTTCACTCAAAGCAGGCAAACTTCTGTGTTGTTTGATACATGGGTTGGAGCAATATACTCAAGTGTGGAATTTTATGCCTTTAGTACCCAAAGAAGCCTATCAGTCATGGTGCTTTCTTCTTAGCAAGACAAATTGCAAAATTCAATACTTTGTCCTTTATTAGGGAGGTGTCCTGCCATTCCCTCTATCATGGATTCCTAAATACCTTGTTGATGTGGTGGACTCCTTTGTAGGGCTTATTTTCTATCCTTTGAAGTACATATATCTCACCATGGGCCTCCAATATATTTGCCACTTTTTAAAATTGATTTTTTTAACTGATGAGTAAGAATTGTATATATTTCTAGTGCATATATATTGTATATATTTCTAGTGCATATATGTGTGTGTGTGTGTGTGTGTGTATATATATATATATACGTATATATGCATTGTGGAATGGCTAAATCAAGCTATTTAAGATATGCATTACCCCACATACTTACTTTTTTTGAGGGGGGACTTGCCACTTCTCAATCATCAGGTTTAATTAGTATGATGCCCTTGATGTAGTAGACCAACATGATGCTTTATAAGGTGTGGAGACAGTTCAGATCCCTTCTGACTATTTTATAACAGAAGGTGGAATTGTTAGCATAGACTTGGGGCAAGTCTACAAATGGATACTGTTATGGACTCAATTGTGTCCCCCGAAAAGCCTTTTTATTGAGGCCCCAATGTGACTGTATTTGAAGATTGAGTCTTTAAGGAAGTAATTAAGATTAAAGGAGGTCATAGGGTGAGGTCCTAATCCAACAGGGCTGGTGTCCTTACAAGGGGTGCTAGAAGAAAGGCCAGGTGAGGAGACAGTGAGAAAGCAGATATCTACAAGCCAGGAAGAAAGTCCTCACCAAAAACCAGATCTTGGACTGGCATCTGGATCTTGGACTTCCAGCCTCTAGAACTGTGAGAAAATAAATTTCTGCTGTTTAAACCACCAAATCTGTGGTATTTAGTTATGGCAGTGCAAGCAGACTAATACAGATACTATTATCCATGCCACATGAAACTGAACTCTTTTTGGTCTTTTTTCCTGATGGTGATGGAAAAGAATACATTCACCAAATGATGGCTACAAACCATGTAACTGAGACTATGTTAACCTACTACAGCAAATATACCACATACAGCGGCACAGCAGCTGCAATTGAGACTACAGAATACCACATATGACCTAGTTATATTTGAGCTTGCAGTAGCTTTTCTCTGTCGTGGTCCAACTGATTATTGTAGATCAGACTGGTAAATTAAATGAGGTGTAATGATAACCCCCACCCTTCTAGTTCTTAATGAGAGGCATCAATATTTGCCAGTCCCTCAGGAATGTAATATGCTTTTGATGTACTTTCATGGCAAAAGCTGTGGGGTATTGTATTAGTCTATTCTCACACTGCTGGTAAAGACATACCTAAGACTGGGTAATTTACAAAGGAAAGAGGTTTAATTGACTCACAGTTCTATATGGTTGGGGAGGCCTCACAATCCTGGTGAAAGGTGAAGGCGGAGCAAGACACATCTTACATGACAGCAGGCAAGAGAGATTGAGAACCAAGCAAAAGAGGTTATAAAACCATCAGTTCTTGTGAAACTTATTCACTACAATGAGAACAGTATGGGGAAAACCACCCCCATTATTCGATTGTCTCCCACTGGATCCCTTCCACAACATGTGGGAGTTATGGGAGCTACAATTCAAGATGAGATTTGGGTGGGGACATGGCCAAACCATATCAGGTATTGAAGCTTCCAGTTGGCCTTTCTCACTATGATAGCTCTAACCCCACACAGAAGCCAAAGACCCCAAGTGAGGTCTCTGACAAGTACAAAGTCTACCCATGCCAGTTATACATTTGGAGAATTGAGAAATAAACATGGAGTGATTTATACACCTAGTAGACTCATTGTGAGCCAGACAAGGCCAATAGTCTATTAATTTTATTTGCCCTTTATATGTCCCTATTTCAGCAGAGGACTCATTGTGATGCTTGCAATCAATGTCTCTTCAAACCCTGTAACCAACAATCCTCAAAATGTCTTGTTTTCTCATTTCTACAGCGCACAGTTACCACAGTGCACAGGGTCTCTTACGTGGAAAGATTGGGGAAATTATTTCTACACACGTTTGTCATGGGATTGCAGGGTCCTTCTTCCTGGGAATTCAGCTTCTTCAGCCAGTGGATTCTTGGTCTGAGATCTGGCCCAAGTCTGGAAATTGACAAGAGATTGTGCCTGTTTATTGAGGCAGGTTTTTAGCCTCGCAGTCACCTATCCTTGATTTTTTGTTGTTGTTTAAATAAATTAAGCATCATTATTGTTGACTGTTCATAAACATGGCCCCTAGAAACATTAGGCTCTTAAAAAATGTATTAGGCTGTTCTTCCATTGCTATAAAGAAATACTTGGGACTGTATATTTATTTTTTAAAAAAGAGGCTAAAATGGCTTACAGCTCTACAGGGTGTACAGGAAACATGATGCTGGTATTTGTTCAGCTTCTGGGGAGGCTGCAGGAAACTTACAATCATGGCAGAAGGTGAAGGGGAAGCAGGCACATCACATGGTCAGAGCAGGGGCAAAAGAGTAAAGGTGGCGCTGCACACTTTTAAATGATAACATCTCAGGAGAATTCACACACTATTGCGAGGACAGTACCAAGGGGGATGGTGCAAAACCATTCAAGAGAAATCTGTCCCCATGATCAAATCACCCCCTATCAGGCCCCACTTCCAACACTGAGGATTGCATTTCAATATGAGACTGTGTGGGAACATTCCAAACTATCTCAGAGGTTTATACTGTTCAGGTTGCTACTGCAACCTTGCTACACGTTACAATAATTGCACCCAGCTTGCTATTGATGGTGAAGTGCCTATCATCTCACTACTATCAGGAATCACAGTTATGTAACAGTAACTCTCCTGTTAGCCTTGGCCTCTAGAGATTATCCACCAAAACTTCTCAATAATTGTGTTACCCCTCTCACAATCACATTGCTTATTGCTTTGCTACATAGATTGTTCCTTAAGCCCTCCTTTGGAACAGAGTTGGCTGGTGGATTTTCCTGCCCTACATAGTCTATCCCTTCTGACATGCTCCTTTCCATAAACCTTTTGATCCCATCCTTTACCATCTGCCATGGCACTCCTGGCATTTTACTTCACCTAGTGTGGGCCATCACCTGTTTCAGGATTTCAAAAAGAGTCATGCACTCTCCAGAGTTTCTTGCCAGGATGTTATTTCCTGTATCACAAATAATTGCTCTCATTTTGTTAAACTCTTCCTTATCTAACTTTATATTCTACCCTTCACGATTTATTATCCTCAAATTCCATTCCCATGAATACTTTCCTGGCTCCTTCTTGTACATACTGTCTTCTGGCGTACAGTTCCTTTTCTCCCATGGCAGGCCCAGCACTTCCTAGAGAGGAACACAGATGCGAGGTGTCAGGTGACACTCCTGGCAGCAGGGGGAATGAGTGCCTTTTTATTTTTTTAAGTAACAATTATGTTATTTTTACTTTTTTAAATAAAATTATATAATATTATATAATTTAATATATATTTAATAAAATTATATGTAATAAAAATTATATACACACATATTTTATATATATATATATATATATATATATATGGTTTAAAACATGTTGTTGTTATCTACATATCCATAGTGAAACAGTGCCTTTGTCCTGAAAGTTTGATTTGGGTACATACCACAGTATCCACTACATTGCTAAAGCCACTTTAAAAGTAAAGCAAAATAAGAAACAACACAAAATTCAGATATTGGTTACCTCTGTGGATAAAGAGGGGAATATATTTGGGAAGAGCACAATGAGATCCTCAAAGTTATTGATAAGGGTTTTGTCTTTTAAACTGTACATGAGAGAACAGTTGTGTTTTTAAATTATTATTATTCTTTAAACTGAAGGAATACATTTTATACACTGTTGTACATATTATACAACCCACAATAAAAGATAATTAAATAAAATGATTCCTGGCACCAAATCTAATAAAAATAAACAGTTTGAGTCACTGAAGGCAACTCATTTCTTAACTTAGGAAAGGAATGGTGAGAATTTGTTGTATGAAATACATGAATATAAAGAGAAAGTGTTGACTTTAAAGATATGAAGATTTAAATGGTTTCTTTTAATTGTGCAAAAACTCAAGGTGAATTCAGAAATGGAGTGTTCAAACAAATACTCTGACAAGCTCTTCCCATAGCCTTCCCCATCATGGCTGGTAGCAACTCCTTCCTTCCAGTCACTCAGACCAAACAACCTAAAATCATAATCGATTCCTCTCTCTTACACCCCATATTTATTCTATTCTATTAGCTGTATAGTCAGACAGCTATTACCCAGGACTGAGCTACTATCATCTTTTGCCTGGATAATTGCAGTAGCCTCCAAGTAGATCTTCCTGCTTGAACTGTTAAAAAAAAATGCAGTGTACAATTGTTAAAATGACAAAATAAAACTTTATTCAAGTATACCGCAATAGGGAAGAGTGATTGAACTCAACCCTGTTGAAACAAAAGGCAGGAGACTTTGAAAGCACTAGGAGAGCTGGTGGAACAGTAGAGGAGGACATTAGCGGTCAGGTTGTCAATGTGATTAAGCCATCTGTGTTTGCCAATTGAGGCTTATGAAAGTTAGACTCCTACCCTCCCACAGAGACTGGGAAATAGGGACACGATCTTTCTTGATGATTAGAGTTCAAAGAGATGGCTCCAAGGTCCTTGAGAAAGACATTCCTGGGTTGTGAAATTGGCAAGAGGCTGCGAGAATATTTACATCTCAAAGAAGCAGAGAAAGCATTCATAATTGCAAGTTTTCTGAAGTAATTGCTGTAAGAAAAAGGACAAGAGGCTGTCGTTAGAAAGAAACCTATATAAAGTTTAGTCAAGCTGAGGGAACCATTAGGATTTTCTTGGTCACTACTGTTGCACTCACAGTCTCTTCTCAACATAGCAACCTGACTGATCTTTTTAAAATATATCTTAGATCATGTTACTCCACTGCTCACAACTCTCCAATGGTGTCCTCTTTGCCTGGAATGTTTTTTTCTCTGGATTTCCATGTGACAGACTTTCTCACTTTTTACTTATTTTAACATAACATTCTCACCCCAACCCATCTCATACTACCAAATTACCAATTGCCTTTTATCTGATCTATTTTATCTTATACTTTAGCATATATCACCTAAAATATGGTGTCATTTTCCCAGTATGCTTATTGTTCACTGTGTGTCTCTAATCCCTGGAATGTTAGCTGTGTGTTGGGGCTCAAAAATGATACCCCAGAGTACAGCACTTTGGCGTGCTGTGTACTTTGAACTGAAGGATATTGGCAACGCCTCAGAAGCAAAGTCTTTTTCAGACCTCCTGCTTTCTTTTTCCTGCTCCCTTACTCTCCCAAGGCAGATAACTAGAATGCCTCTTTCCCAAGGTGGATCATAGAAACTGGAAATATTACTTTAGACTTTCTCCACCTTTTTGTGTATAGGAATGGGATGTAAAGAATCTCTGACCTACCATGTCTGAAAGGTCATAAGATCCTCATTCCAGAAGGGGCCCTGTCTTCTACCATGGAGCAAGGAAAGCCACACAGAGAGACCAAGAAGAAACTAAAACAGGGAGGCCTTGCTGGGTTTTCCCACTTTGTCTATTATGTAAGATTATTCCCTTTTTATTCAATCACATTTATATACAGCTATCCATTCTTCCTCAAACCTAAGCATAAAAATAGAGAGTTTTTTCTTAAATCTTTGGCTCTTCATTTCTGAAGGCTCCCATGTCACATAAAACTTCAATTAAATACCTATTTTTTGCTTTTCTTTCATTAACCTGCCTTTTGTTATAGGAGTGTCAGTTGTCACCTTTATGATGAAGAGGAAAGTAATCACATCCACTTCATTCCTACAACTGCATGAGAGTGAAGGTCTTAGTTTTGTTTCTTAATGTATCCTATATGCACCCAGGACAGTGCCTGGCACATGGTATGTACTGAATAAATATTTGGTGACTGAGTTATCCCTGACCCACACTGCAGAAGGAAAAAAAAAAAGCGAACGTAATTTCCTTCAGAACACAGCAACATTAACATTATCTGTTCTCATTTAGAAATTGAACATTTTTCTACATAAGAAATTAAATTCAAATATTAGTAATTGAGTATGCAAGTGGTCCACGTCACTAAACCAGAAGCTTATGTTTGTGTTATAAAAATGGGAAGACAAAATGTTCAGTTATGGAGAAATGCTCATCCTAAATGTACAAATGATTGCCTAAAGGTAGTGAGCTTCTACCTAAAAACCAAATACTTTGTTTCTGTGGTTTTCCTTGATTTTGCTTTTACTACCCATCCCACCTTCCTCAAAGGCTATGTTTAACCTGGAATTGAAGAAGAATTTTCCTGACTGGGTGTTTTACTAAATTGAATATATTAGTTAATTACTCTACTTTACACTTAGCTAAACTAGGCCTAAGCGAATACTAATATTTCCTGCACAATCTAGCACAATTAAAATAAGAAACCAATAAATGTTTTTATTTGAAGACCTAAATATTACTTTTCACTAATTTAGCCATTTCATATTTAGTTCAAATCATAAATAATATGTAGGGATTTCATGCTTTTTGAAAATAAGTTTTCTGCAAATGCACCATGTTGAGATGCTCAGATAGAGCTATAAATATATTTTAATTCTAAAGTACGGACCCTTGCTATTTCGAGGCCAGGTCTCTAATTAGTTGCATTTTAAAGTTTTAAGATATGTATGTGTACTAATGTGCACTTAGGGTTTCATCATTACTGTTAATATCATTTCACAAGTGTCCTAAGTTGCATTTTGAACATGGGCCTCAAGAGATGAAAAAGCTAGTATAATAATCCACTGTACACTGCAGTCCTTTCCAAATTCATATCACAGTTTCTCATTTAAATGACCTTTTTTTGAAATGATAGAAGGATGAAGCTTCTTTCCAGGCAATTACAGGGATACAATCTTATTTTTGCATGGCAAAATTATTTTAATTACAAAGTCATAATGTTATCATTACATATGATAGTGATAGCCAATGGTGTCCCTAGATATAATGTGAGTTTAAATATTTCTGCATTACTTTGAATAAGCATAATGAAGTAAAAATCTAGGTGAAATACTTGTTTTAGTTTGTGTTGTGTTTTGCATAAATGCAGGAATCAACAAAAATCGTAAAATAATGTTTTAATAAAAGTAACCATAACATAGGAATGATTATAAAGATCCTACAAGTGAATTTTTGCTAAGAGCTGAAAATCATGTTGGAGTACTGTACTTTCATGAAATTAAAAACTTATAGTAGTAAAATGATCAGGAGGCATTTAAGATCCCAAAAGACCAGTGTTTATGGCATGTACATTGAGTTTGGCAGAAATAGGAGTTGTCACAAGGGTACCTTAGCTTGTCTCATCTACTTTCCCTTGGAAATTACATTTCTATCTTCCTTTGGCACTTAAAAATGTTGAAAATGTTCAATGACTTAATTTAATGAATGCAATATATTGAAAAAATGTAAAGGAACTCTGCTCGCCTTTTCCAATATGATTAATATTTTATTTTTAAGAAAAGCAAATTAAAGAAAAATCCCCAACCTAAGGTCAACAGTGCCTGTTTAAGGGAACTATCTTATTCTATTCTCTTCAATGCACTGTCTTTTTCAGAATATTAATGGGGGAAAGAGTGACAAGAATGACTTAGACGTACATGTCAGGAGAAAGGGTCAGCTCTTGGCAGTAGGATGTTAATTCACATCCATTAATGAAATTTATCCTCCTTACTGTCTCTCCCTCTCTCTTTCTCATACACTGTCTCTCTCTCTTCCTCTTTTAAATAAAAAAGTCTTTTTTTTTTTTTTTTTTTTTTTGAGAGAGAGAGAACATCATGGACTTTTCACAGGAGCTGAGCAGGGCCACAGGGGCAGGCCAAGGTAAGAGACTGACAATCTTCAGGTGATTAAGGAGACTCAAAGGCTAGGTAGACCTACAAAATGAATAACTATGGACCCAGAACCATGCCATAAGGCTCAATGGCTTGTGATTTGCAAGTTGATAAGACAAGAAGATTAATAATGCTGCATGATAATGGCTGCTCCCTCTCAGCTGGGGAGATGGTAATGATCTGATATTGCTGTAGGAGCAGTTCAGCGTGCTGCAGAGAGGAGGGTGCAAATTCACTCATCCCAATTGGCCCTGAGGATATAGAGATTTTGAAAAATGGGAATGCAGTTACAATTTTAATTAGATATAAAGTTTTTAATAATTTTGCTGAAATGAGGACTTCAAAGAACATATTTTGCAGCATTCAGGCCCATAACTCCTGAGTGACAGTTTTGGTTAATTTGCAAGTTTTCAGATCAAACTTTGCCCCTGGCTCCATGCTGAGGGTAAAGTAAAATGTCAATTTCTTTCCTCAGTGATCTCAAGCATCTTATTTAGGCAGGTGTGCTGAATTCTCTTATTCTGTAGACGTTAGCTGAACAAAACTACTCATTAAAATATATGCTTAGGAAAAAAATTAGCAGCATAAATAAAATCAGTAGTAATAAAGAGAATCAATCAGCAAGAAAAATGTACAGCAATATACAACATAAAATTTTAAAGAAGAATCAGGGTATTATTGTATATAAAAGGTGATTAAATGTTAGCATATGATTATGCTGTCATTGCATATTATTATCAAAGAATGTTTAATTTATACACTTTAAAATTAGAGGTAGCTGTGCAAAAAGATATTATTTTTTTCTCCTCCAGACCATATTTTTCTTTTGCCTACTGAATTCAATATAGGTTTGTGATTCGGAATTGTGGTCCTGAATTAATTACATTAGATGTCTAAAGTACATTAGTTTTTTGGCAGTCTACAAGGTAGTAGTAATAGGGAATGATGTTGTCAGTCAATTGAAAGGCATCATTCGGCTTCTGCCATCTCCATTTTACTTTTCACTTCTTCCCATAGTTTGGGGAACAGCCTGCCAAAAGACTACTGTAACAAGCACCTTCTTGAAAAGCTGTTTAAAACAAAGAGTGAAATTTATTAAAAAAGCAAGCAAGGCAATATAATTGCGTGTCATTTTATATTAAATTGATTACTGAGTTTTTTGAGGCCTGAACTTGTGATCTACTTACACTTTATAAAATCTTGTGTGTGTATATTTGTGCTGTGTTGAATTGGAACATTTCTGAAAATGTTTCTTTTTTCATTAAAACCTGATATCCATGAACTCCGTGCAAGGTTAGACTCAGGATTTCTCATGTATTTGCCACCAAGCAATGAGCCTTTTAATCCAGAAATTATAGAAGTTGACTGACCAAGACTGCCAGAGCATTTATAAGTGGAAGTTTTGATGAGCTTCCACTATTTGAATTGATGTATTCAAAACTGACCTGAAATTAATATGGGAACTTAGCTTCCCGTGTTAGAAAAATATGGAAACAGTGCTCAAGTATAAAGAATGGACAAGCAAACAAACAAACAAAAAATGTAAGAATCACTGTAGTCTTCCACATTAAATCAATACAGTACATTATTCTGTTCTTTTATTGAAATTCTACTCTCAGAAAGAACATCTCAGCACAGTGGTACAGCACTGCTAGCTCCTTCACAATAGATTTTTCTGGTGTTAAATACTATACTTTTTGAAGCAACTCAGCACCCTCTCAAACTTGTCCCTAGGGATTCCAATATCAAAGAGATTGTCTACACTAGTGTACAACAGCAAAGTCTGCGCACTATGGTTTGGTAAGTTGGCTAAATTCTGCCATTTCTGTAAATCTGTATGGGAACTATGATGGCTCTAGTCAACTTTAACAAAATACATGAGGATTGATGAACATTGGATAAACAGGTGTCTTTTTTTTTTTTGAAAACAACAAATACTATAAGAACAAGTAACACATGGATATTCATTTTTTAAAAAAATATGCAGCTTATTAAAGGCAAAATAAAATCTTTTTATTTGAATTTTCTGGGATTAAAAAAATACAGACGGTTCCAATAAGAGTACCAGAACCACACACTTAAAGAAGGCTCAGAAACATCTATGTGTTATAAAATGCAAACTAAACTAGGATAGAAAATATTGCAAACATTGTCCCATTAGCATTTGGTGTGAGACATCCAAAAATATTTCAGAGGAAAACTATTATGCTGTTGGAAATAATAGCAATACACACTAAATTGCTCAAATGACAATATTACTTAGTTGTGTTGATTACTGCCCCAATAGACTATATTTTCTGACTATAACAACAAAGGATTTCTTGTCTAACTCTATTCACAAATGCCTCGGAAGATATAGGAAAGAATAAGACAGAGAAAGCGTGTTTAAATGTCTATTTGGAAAAGCTGTAGTGAGTTAATTGATATTGTCCTGTACCACTTCATTTCTAGACAAATCTATTTCTGAGCTGGGAAAAGTGATACAGTTCAGTTTTCTTGAGATAATCTTTTATAGTGAGGAATAGACAGGTTTAAAAACCTGGGTTTTTCTATCTCCTGCTTTAGTAGTTTTACGTGATCAAAATGAGGGCTGAGATTTTTTTGTGAATGCTGTCGTATAACTTGCATTTCCTTTTATTTGCACTCAAATATATTTATTAGTGAGGTTATCTTGAAAAGAACGGAGGTATATTGAAGACATCAAATAAAATAAAGGCTCACAATTTCCTGGTATGTTGAGTTCTGTTGAATTTGTGTTGTTTTGCATTAAGATTCAGGTCTAAATGTATTCAACTAATAGTTAACCATGTTGGATTCTTGCCCATTTTGTCAAAAGGTAGAATTCAAATAAGAAAGTGAGTGTTCATAAATTGTGTCTAAATGGGACTAAATGTGCAGGCAGAATATGATTAAAAATGGCCTTTTGTGATGATACATAGATGTAGAAAAAATTAATACCGCATGCCCATGTGTTTTATTGGGTGAAATTCTGTAAGGTGAGTTTCATAAAAAAAATTTCCAGCCTGTTTGTTCAGCTGGTTTGCCCATCACATTTAACATTTCTTATTGCACTAGCACTTATTCTAAGTTTTACTTTTGGTTCAAATACTAAGACAATACACTATATTTTCCATCTATCTAGGCATTCCTAAAGCTGCAGGAGAAAAATGTGGGTTAAGATTAATTTCTTTAATCAGTATTCATTTTTCAATGTTAGTACATCCTTTAAAAATTGCATTCATTAATAAGCTATCTAGACATAATTATGTAGCTAGGTCCATATAAACCTAGGACCTAAAGACAAAACTGTCAAGTTATACACAGAAAAAAAAAATTACAAGAAAAAAGAAATGGAATATTTAGTATCTATTCTTTAAGGCCCAACTTAAATATACTTCATATATGAAGATTTGATTCCACTCAAAAAGTGACTTCTTTTTTAACTGAAGTTCAATAATCTTTGTCAAAATTTTAATGTGTGAACACTTGATGGAAGGTTTCTAGAAAAAAAGCACTCTGATTTATCTTCCCATTCTCTACTGTGCCTCAAAGAAGAACTTGCTCAACAAATAGACACAAGAATTATTGAGTGAGTAAATAAAGACAAAAATGTTTTAATGAAATGTCTGTTTAGTAATACATATTCATTCCATGTAACAAGGTATGAATTCACTCAAAGTAATATACTGCAAGAGATAGACATTGGTGGATGAATTAAAATTCTATACCTTAGTTCCTAATACCTAGAACCTAACTCACTAGGCTGACATGTAATTATTACCTATGAAAAGTTTATTGGAGAGATTGACAAAGGGGACTCCTCTTGGTCACCCAGGACTGAGGTGGCACACTAGGCTAAGACTCAGAGACCAGGGTCAGCTTACAGACATGTCTTGTTTTGTTCTTCATAGTGTTGAAAAACATTGTGTAATTGTTGCCAATATTTCAAAATTAGAGGTTTCTAAATACAAATATGTTTTTCCAAGTTCTCTTGAAAAGGTGAAAGAACTGATCATCCTGGGTTCACACTGCTGGATGGTAACATTTGGTTGGAGCAAAGGCACTATTGACCCTTTAATTGAGCACACACTGTCCTGTGCACCAAGATCCACACCTGGTGAGCTTCATTCAGCTGCCTGACTCGCATACTCACTTGAGTTAGTAACATCTTTTCTGAAGCTGCCAAGAATTAGTTAAAAAATAAGATTAATCAGGGACTAACACTGGTTTCCAGTTGTGGTAGGCTAAATATTGCCTCTCCACCCCTCTCTGCAAGATATCTGAGTTCTATCCTCCAGAACCTAGAAATAGGTTCCCTTACCAGGCAAAAGAAACTTTAAAAATGTGTTAAGGTTAGGGACCTTGAGATGGGAAGATTGTTCTGTATTATCCAGGAGATCGCAATTTGTTCATATGACATTTTAAAAATGGAAAAGAAAGAACAGGTGAGAGAAATGTTACTTGAGAAAGATTCAACCTGCTGCTGCTGGCTTTGAAGATGGAGAAAAAGGGGCCATGAGCAATGGAATGTGGGCAGCTTCTAGCAGATGGAAAAAGCAAGAAAACAGATTTTCCTCCCAGAACCTCTGGAAGGAGCACAGCCTTGCCGATACCTCCACGCTAAGAGCCAGTTTGGATTTCTGATCTACAGATTGAAAAACAACACACTTGTGTTGTTTTAAGTCATTACATTTGTGGTAATTTGTTACAGTGGCAATAGAAAATTAATGCAAGTCTCACATATAATGTTAAGCGTTGTTCAATTCAAGCTCCCTGAATCAGTAGTTACAGGAGCTTATAGAAATGTTGACATGGTGGCTGTAAATAAAATAGTGAAGACTCACGTGGGCAAAGATATAACATTTGCATAACTGAACTTAACTGCTCATTCCAAACCCTAGTTCTACCTTACATTAAAAAATAATCTAGTCATTTCTGGGTATAACTGGTTAAATTTATTGATTTGCTCAGTAATGTTAGGTTAAATACACAGTCATATGCTTATTTTTAACATTCAACAAATATTTATTGAGGGCTTACTTTGGGTTCCTGTTCTAGGCTCTGCAGATGAAAGGATGGATAAGACAGCCAAAGCTTCTGATTTCTGATTTCTTAGAACTCATATTCTACTTGGAGATATAGAAAATAAACGTATCAGCAAATAAATTACTAACTAAAAGGTTATGCTAAGTGTGAATAGGAAAAATAAAGCTGAGAAAGAGAAAGAGCATGTTTCCATTTTAGATAGATGTGGCATAACACAAAATCTATTTGGTATTTGTCCCCAGTTCCTGACACAGAGCTCCTAAAACCCTTGAAATTTTCTAAGTGATAGGAGTATTTTTGGTAATTCATCACAAACTCTTTTCCATCACATGTGAGCTCAAGCTAATGACGTGACCTAAGGAGGAACCCCTTAGAGCAGGGGGTCCCCAGCCTCCAGGCTGTAGACCGGTACCTGTTAGGAATCTGGCCACACAGCAGGAGGTGAGCGGTGGGCTGGCAAGCAAAGCTTCATCTGTATTCACAGTTGCTCGCCATTGCCACTCATATTACCAACTGAGTTCTGCCTCCAGTCAGATCAGCAGTGCCATTAGATTCTCACAGGATCGCAAACTCTATTGCGAACTGCACATGTGCAGGATCTAGGTTGTGCAGTCCTTATGAGAATCTAATCCCTGATGATCTGTTACTGTCCCCCATCACTCCCAAGTGGGACCATCTAGTTGCAGGAAAACAAGCTCAGGGATCCCACTGGTTCTACGTTATGGTGAATTGTATAACTATTTCATTATATATTACAATTATTAATTATATAAATAAAGTGCACGATAAATGTAATGCACATTAATCATCCCAAAACCATCCCCCCACCTCTGGTCTGTGAAAAAATTGTCTTCCATGAAACTGGTCCCTGGTGCCAAAAAGGTTGGGAACCGCTGCCTTAGAGAGCCTCAGGATGGGATTGGTCACCAAAAAGACCAAGTAATTGGAGGGTTAGAACTTTCAGCCCCACTTACCAAACTCTAGGAAGCAGGTAAGGGAGCTGGATATTGAGCTCTATGAAAACTTTTAAACAGAGATTTTTAAATGAAATTTCAATATGTAAGGACTATGAGATACAGTGAGAGAGACAGATAGAGACTCCATTATGTAGGTACTTGTACATCATGATAACAATTTTATTTTAAAGTGTAGCAAAGCCATTGGAAGATTTTGAGAAGAAAGGTGGTCTGCTGTCTGGCTGCCCTATGGAGGATGGACTGTAGGTGTGCAAGAATTAAAGCAGGAGAAACAGTTAAAGGCTGTTGTAATGACCCAGGAGGTAGTGAAAGTAGTTGGATAGAGCTTATATTTTAGATACAGGCTGACAGGAGCTCCTTATGTAACTGATGCAAATTGTTTTTAAAGAAATTAAGAACAACTCTTGGTTATGAACACTAAATAACTGTAAAGTTTTGCTGTTATTTAATGGCATGGCCACTCTGGTAGTAGCAGTGTTAGGAGTGGGGTCAGGGCCAACTTCATGGTATGAGGCCAGTCAGTTGCACAAATCTTTCTGGCGACATTGCCCCGTACTTGGGGTTTAATTCTCTGTATTTGCCATCTTGACATTTTCTCTTAGTTTTATGTTTCGTAATGAATTCCAATGTGACTTTGGAGCCTCATATGTCCCTTTACTCATGTGTGGTTATGCCTCTGGCTGACGCTACTTCTCTAGAACAGGTTTTGGCAGATGTCCTGGGCCCTGCCCTGCCTCACACTCCCTGCCCTACTCAATGACCTATGGGACCTTGCACCACAGTGGAAGAAAAAATACCATAACATGTTGAGAGAGACCAGGTAGATGAAAGGAAAATGCTTAATATTTTAGTGCCTTTAGTGTCATTTATTTTCTTACTTTCTGAACAAGGAGTCCTATGTTTTCATTTTGTGCTGAGCCCCCAAATTGTGTAGCCAGTCCTAGTTAGAGTTGAAACATATTCCTGTTTTGGAACTGTTCAGTTTGCAATCCCAATTAAACATCTAGTTAGAGTTGTTGAGTAGGCAGCTAGATACACAAGTCTGGAGATTAGGTGAGAGTCAACAGTGGAGTTATGAGTGAGCAGGTTATCATGGCATGTATGGTGTTTTTAAATCTTCAGTCTTGCCCTGTCCACTCATCTGTCTGTTGGAAAAGCGCTGAATTCCACTATGCATAAGTATGTGTGGAAGAGAACTGTTTTGGGCCTTGATCTATCTCAGTTCTGTTTTGGCTTCCCTCAAAAAATGTTCCTCATGTCATCTGGTCTTTTAAGTGAGGCCCACTTCCATTCAAAACTCACCAACGTTGACAAATTTCTCATCATAGGCTTTGCTATCAGAATCTGTCCATTCTGAATTAACTGATGTGTCACTGAGGTCAAGCAAATTATTCCCTGGGTTCTCCTTGTCCCAACTATCAGATTCTTTTGTATCTAATGGTCCACTCTTAGCTTTTGTGGGTCCTCCTAGAAGATGTGACTGATCTTCCAAGCATGTATGAGCCTGGGGGAGACTTAGAGCCAGCGGCAGATAATCATGCTGACCTAAGATCAGTATTGGTCCCAGCCAGCTCTGATAGACGAAACTTCAGAGTCTGGTAGTAAACGCCAAACACCAGTCTATTCTATTCTGTGCTTCCCATTGCAAATAAGAGTTCCTTTTTATTATTATTCCCAAGAGATGAGGCTGGAAAATTAAACAGAGCACCATCCCCTAAAGTTACAGTGTCAAATCTACCCTCTTGATTTATCTTTGAGTGCTTATGGTCTTTTTAATTCATGGTCTGGATGAAAAAAATAAACTTTTCTGCAAGATTGTATACCTCATAAACCCTTTATCTCTTGTAGCTAGAGAGCACTTTTAGAATTCTAAAACTAAGAATTTATCATTTATTTCTCTTTTTTTCCCTAACAATTTCCCCTAGGTAGCTAGAATTAGGATGGTCATTGAAGAAAAAGAATACCAGTTACTATTGCAAATTATTATTCAAACACTCTTATTTCTTAAAAACAATCTGCCAGAAGAGCACACTTTTCAGAAACACAAATATGTCAGTATTCTGGGTCCTTATATGTCTGGCTGTATTTCCCAGGGCCACTAATACATGAAGAAAAAGATTTCTATCACTTGGACTTCAAGTCTTCAGGTCACCTCTTCAAAACCCAGACATTCAGGGAGCCAAGTGTCCCAGAACAGCTCTAAATTCCCCCAAGGAAGAGGACTAAACGTATTCACTAAAATGGAAAGATCTTGATGAGCGAACAATTAATTTTGTTAAGCATTTTCAAACCCTTAAGAATATAAAGTTCCCATTTGATTGAATAACAACGAGTGCTCCAGATAAAAAGCCTTCCTACATGGAGCTTCTCTGAGTCTGCTCTTAGCTGTCTCTCACACACTGACTTCCTGATGAAGTTTCTCCTAGTGTCCATCTTTAGTACTGACGTCATAGGGCTGACCCAGTCCAAGATTCCTCTTCCCAGTCAGTCCTGCTTATTGTTAAGCATTTTTATCTTCCTAACGATGTAAAGCCCTTTATGACTCGGCCCAGACTTCCTGCTCCCCATTGGTTAATGTGGGAATCAAAACTGTGTGTAAATTCTCTGCTCATCTCATGCTGCGTCACTACTTCATGATTACGTGTACTCTGCCCCTAACCTTGCACAGACTTCTCCACTTTCTTTACTTGGCTGACTCCTATATCCTTTATGACAGAGTACAGGTATCATTTTTTCCCTAAATCCTACTGTGGCATATTGCATTAAAATGTAAGTTTTCCAGTTTTCTTACCCGTAATGTTTCTCACTGAGGGAACTATATACACTCCCAACTGATTAAACTGAGGAGCGACCATGTGCCCAGAGTTAGCCAAACTGTGAAGTTTTAAGGCACAGTCTCCCAAAGCTTCCCTCATTTTCAGCACAAACTGCAAGTTTGGGGAGGTTTTCAAAGCCATCCTCAGGTTTGATAATTCATTAGAAGAGTCACAGAATTCGGCAAATGCTATTGTACTCACATATGTGGCTTATTACAGAGAAAGAACGCAGATAAAAATCAGTCAAAGGAAGAGACTCATGGAGCAGAGTCTGGAGGATTCCAAACAGAAGGCTTCTGTTGTCTGAGGGACCCGTTACTCGCTTAGTATCAATATGTTTTGAATATTGCTAACAAGGGAAGCTCACTCAAGCTTTGATGTCCAGAGTTTTTATGGAGGCTTCATTACATAGGCATGGCTGGTTGATTTATTGGTCGTCCAAGCAGTTGTACTTAGTTTGCAAGTCAACTGATACCGCATAACCCAAAGTAAACTGCATAGTCCGTAACTCTAAATCCCATGACTGGTCTTTCTGGCATGGCCATGTCTCATCCTAAGACTGTCAGGTGTAGTTAGTTTTCACACTAAACCAAGACATACCAAACTGAAGCTGAGAGCAAAGGCCAGATCTCTCTTTAAGCAGGACCACATTCTTTACTGTATACTATGTGACTAGCTTTTTGACCAATGCCATGAAAGCTGAAATGATGTGTGTCATTTAAAGAGCCATTGTGAGGCTTGCCATGTCTTTTTTCCTTCTGCCATATGTTCCAGATAGGACCTGTTCTATCAGCCGGGATCTCTAATTATGACAAGCAAAACCTCCTTGTTTACCTATTATAGACATATATCACAAGGGAGAAAAAAACCTTTGTTTATGTAAACCACTGGAGTTTAGGGTTCCTTGTCATCGCACATAACCCAGCTAATCCTAACTGACGGACCTACTAAAATTCCCCATATTTGATTCGATTCCCTTTTTGTGTGCTCTCATAGCATTGTGTGCCTCATGACTAGGTGTGGACCAATACATGCTGCCACAAGTTGTTGAATTGGTCATAAAACATGTCCTAGTCTACCTATATAGTGTTTTATAAAGTGCTTTTATTAGTTGCTAACATTTTAAAGTTGAAAGCTTTCATATAAAAAAATCCAAATTTCCAGCTTATAATAAAAATAATCTCAGAAATTTTGTCAAATGCCCAAGTATCTTCAAAGTAACAATTGGCTAAACTAAATCAGCTCACCTTCTTTGACAGTAAATCTGGTCACAGCCCCTACCAGGCCAGGTTAACTCCTTATTTCCTGACTAGTCCCTAAAGGCATCTGAATTTACAACCTCTTTAAATCTGTTCAACAATTATTGGTGAAAGAGGGGTATAAGTAGAAGAAAGAGGAGAGAAGAGCAGGAAATTGAATTTCTATTAATAATAATATTCTGTTGAAAACAATTTATTACATAAACAGAATAGAACATAATCTAACTTATTTGAAATTTGTGGATAAGATTAGTTGCTCTAAATCACCAAGAGTAAAGAGAACATTCATTGGTCTAATATCAAAATCTCATTCAAAGTATATTAAAATATGTTTATTGCAGCACAATTTACAATAGCAAAGACTTGGAAACAACCCAAATGCCCATCTGATAGACTGGATAAGGGAAACGTGGCACATATGCACCATGGAATACTATGTAGCCATAAAAAAGAATGAGTTCATGTCCTTTGCAGGTACATGGATGAAGCTAGAAACCATCATTCTCAGCAAACTAACACAGAAACAGAAAAACACGTGTTCTCACTCATAAGTGGGAGTTGAACAATGAGAACACATGGACACAGGTAGGGGAACATCATACACCAAGGCCTATCGGGGGTGAGGGGCTAGGGGAGGGATAGCATTAGGACAAATACCTAATGCATGCGGGGCTTAAAACCCTAGATGATGGGCTGATAAGTGCAGCAAACCACCATAGCACATGTATACCTGTACAACAAACCTGCACAATTTGCACATGTATCCCAGAACTTAAAGTAAAATTATATATATATATATATATATTTAAAATAACTTTTCACCTTAGCTTTATGTTTGCAAAATGATTTCTACTTTTTAATAATTCTTCTTTTCTCTTTGATTTTATTTTATTTTTCTGAACCTGTCTATAACTTTGGGAGAGATGGATTCAATTGATTACTTAAATTGTTCATTTAATTAATTGATCCCTGGTGGTAAACAGCACTAGGTTATTCATCTTTGGGCTTCAGAATCCTGCCACGAACTGATGACTTTAGGTGAGTACTAGCTGCGTCGTCTGGATTGATAGCTGGCTGTGGTTTGCCATGCAATGTACATGAGTTTATCACTGCAGAGTTAAGCTGGAGCTGAAAGGGAGTGTCTTTACATTTCTACTCAAGGTCTTTGTTTGCTTTGGTGTCAGCAAAGTCAAGTTACATGTTGATATTTATGTAATGAGTCACACATGAAAATATGAATCAAATGGTGTTTACTTCAATTCAATCCACTAATATTTGGCACTGGCACCGTGAAAAGTGTTTCTGATGGACTATCTCCCAAATCCCACTTATCACAGCACTTAACTGACTGCAGAGACATTGCTTGTAAAAATGTTGCCTAAACTGATAAGCTGTTCAGTAGCAGCGACTGCTTCTCATATACACTTGTACTCTACTTTCCCAAACATGTTTGTTTTATATATTCCAAAGTTGGCTATGTTTTCATCTTCTTTTCTAATGATTTATCCTTACGTACATAGAGTTCTTACTTGCTAAGTACTGTCAATTAGCCCCAGTTCAAAGTGGAGTTAAAGATGCCTTCATTTTATGTTTTGAAAAAGAATTTCTGGCTCTTTCAGAATTACACATTGTTGTTTATTGCACAGTACTAATAGTAAATTGTTTGTTCTTAAAAAAAAAAACCTTATTTTTATAGGAAAGTCTTCTTTTCTCAGAATTAAATAAAAATATTTGCTTTTAATGAGACTTGTTTTAAAAAATAGAGACATCATTCCATTCAGATGATTCTTAATTTGTGTATTCAAAATGTGTCCAGTTTTTCCAGTAGTGCATTTCATGAGACAGAAAAGTTAAGAATGCATATGTGTGAAACCAAATACATTTTTGACTCATTATACATTTTGTGAAACAACTGGGAAATGAGATGTTGATTGATGCCCAGTCACTGTGGTTGTGTGTCTATTGCCAATGAAAATGTAGCTGAAATACACAAATATTTTTAAATGTGCTCTATGGGTGTGTCCTCTTTGCCAGAAAATACGCTGCACAATTGTTATGTAAACACTTGTGCTATTCCCACTGCAAAAACATTTTGCAGATGTTTCCCTGTGAAAACATTCTAAAACATATACTTGGCTGTCTTTGTTTACCTTAACTTGTTTTCAATAACTGTTTCTTTTTGACTGCAGCTTATTATAGTTTCTTGTGGTTGAACAAATGAAGGATGAGAAACAAGTTTAATGATTTAGAAATAATCTAGCTTATGTTATTGTATTACAGTGCTCTCTAACAATTTTCTCTAATTTTTATCACAGAAAAACAACAGTAATTCAAAAGAAACAAATACACAAAAAGAAAGGGTCGGGGGGGGCGCTGTAATTCTAAAATCTGTGTGACTATTTTTGCCATGTCCACATAGGATCGGTGTCTCCAGATGTCCTTAAGACTGTCTCATGAACTCCATTCTTCTTCAATCCAGCAAGAACCCTCACCTCTCGTTCCTTGTGATGCAGTTTGGCAGTTGAGAATGAGGTCATGGTAGAGGAGAAAGCATTCCGTCCCACGAGAAATTTAGAGTTGGTGATCTCTAATCTCTACAAATTTCCAGTGAGTTTATGCCATTTTTATCTACATATCTAGAATCTAGATTAGAAATGAGGCACTATCAAAACTTGGGAAAATGAGACAAAAATGATGCAGATGGATTTTTAAAACATATTTTAAAAACATCTATCATTATACACAAAGGAAAAGAAAGTTGAAGGCATTTATATGTCACTTAAATGATAAGAACTCACATACAAAAAAAACCTTTAAGGTTGTGGTTAAGAATGCCATTTTACATAAGGTAGTCTTGGACAAAGACCCAATTCAGCTGCTTACATCTTGAGTAAACTTGGACGTTTTAGTTAATCTGTCAAAACATCCTTATAATACTAAAAATATTAATAGTTAACTATTGAGAGCTTACCATGTATCAGACACTAATGATCTGCACATGCTATATTATTAAATTCTCACACAAATTCTATGAAGCAAATCCTATATTATTAGCCCCATTTTACAGATAATGAAACAGGCACAAAGGGGTTAATAATTTATTTTTATTAAATATTTGGCAACCACTCATGTAGTGCTTGCTATGTGTTGGACCCTTTTCTAGGCACTTTACAAATATTAATTCAAAACACATCAATTAGGTTGGAACTACTATGTTAATACTTATTTTATAGATAAGGAAACTGAGATGCAAACAGATGAAATAACTTGCCGAAAATCACAGTCAGTAAGTACTGAAGTGGGGATTTGAACCTACACAGTATGATCCAGTCTGCACACAAAAATCACTGCCTCTTGGGGTTACTGTGAGGATTGAATGATACTGCGTTGGCACGTGATAAGCATAATAAAATGTTAACTATTATTATTATTACCAGTTTATTCTAAAGAGTACGGAAACTGTCACCTAAGATGTTGACAAATCAGAAACACTAATGATACTGAGGAGATGAACAGCAGGCAAGTTTTAAAACCCTGTCCTTTCACTGGGAAATTTGAAAACTAGCAGGAAAGCTAGTGGACTGGAATAGAATGAGCAAGACAGGGAATAGAAAATGAGGTCAGACAGTTATCCAATCACATAGAGCCTTGTAGAGCATTATAAAGACTGACTTTTGTTCTGAGTGAGATGAAAAGCCATTGGTGAGTTTTGAGCAAAGTCATAAAATGATCTGACTTAAACGTTTTAACAGGATTACTCTGGCTGCTGTGTTGAGAAAAGAACTGCAGGGGAGCAAGGGCAGAAGTATACGGTACTATTATTTCATGAGGCAGAGAGGTTATGTAAATTGCCCAGGGTCTGTCAAAGAGCCAGTAGGCATCAAACAGGGTTTCCAACTCAAGCCTGCATGAGTTAACCATACATGATGCTGAATGAGAGAATGATGATGAAGGCTTTTAAGTCTTCGTGTTGGATCCAGACACAAAGTGTGATGTGTGATATTTTTCTGAGAATCTGGCTAGAAAAAAAGTATCTTATACAGTTAAACAAAATTTTGGTTTCCTTAACAAGATTCCTAATTATCTGAAAAATGTCTATGATAGATAATACTAATTCTGATCCAATATCTATTTGCAGTCAGGTAATAATGAGCAAAGTATCTCTCTCTCTCTCTCTCTCTCTCTCTCTCTCTCTCTCTCTGTCTGTCTCTCAATCTCTCTCTCTCTCAAAATGGGGTCTTGCTATATTGCCCAGACTGGGGTGCAGTGGCTATTCACAGGTGTGATCATTGCACACTATACCCCCAAACTCCTGTGCTCAAGTAATTCTCCTGCATCAGCCTCTCAAGTAGCTGGGACTATAGGTACATGTTCCCTGCCTGGCATATCTTTCTTTAATAAGTGTTTTTCACCAGGTAATATTTTGTATAACTATAAAAATTGGCACCATATTTTATATTATGGTAAGTCTAATTTGCTGTAAAAGTTATTTCTTTTATGACTGTCTGGTAGTATTAGAGTATAAGAACAACTAAGCCAGAAACCTACCTAATGTCTGCCATAGCAAGGCAGAAACCACCTATCACCTAACTCAATGTCTGCTTAATATTTATTAACTGGAATAATTAATAATGACATTAAAAATTAAAAGCAAAATTATTTTAAGGTATAGTCAAAGTTCCTAAGAATCAACATTGACTTTATGCTCACTGACTATGTAAAGGGAAGACATGTCCTTATTTGGGGATAATTTCAGGGATTTCTACCAATAAATTCATAGAGGAGACTGAAGGCCTGGAGCAGCATTCAGATTCCTAGAAGCACTGAGAAAAATCATACAGACTACATTTTCAAGGTAATTAATTAGCTGTTGTAGAAAAACAACTCCTAAATTTTAGTGGCTTGAACCCTAATAGGTCAATTTCTCTCTCACCTCATCATCTCATCTGGGCTGAGTGGCTTTCATGGACAGCTGTCTTCCCAGCAGTGACTAGGTCACCTCATCCAAGCTCCTTCCACCGTGTGGCTCCGCCATTTCCTGGGGTCATTACGAAGTCCTTGTTTGGATTATCTGCGTAATAATGAGTGAAGAGAGGAAAATGTGAACATTCTTGTGGGACCATTTTCGGGCCAAGTTTGGAAAAGCCATATTCCATAAAATTATTTCACCAAACTCAGTCACATGGACAGCCCAATTGCAGGGGAGCTGGGACAGACAGAGGCTAGAGTGCTAGCAGTCTCTGCCACAAGAAGCCAAATCCCTAGGTTTTCAGCCAAAAACAGAGTTTTCTTTCAGTGCTAGTGATCAGAAAATACGTACTTACTGGTAAAGCTGGCCAGTTGCTAAAACATTAAAATACTTCCATACTGCATACATTGGTGATTGGATAGCTTTTCTTATACAAATTGAAATACTTGTATACTTCAATAAACTTTACATCAACATTAAAGGCAAATATAAACGAACAATGTGAGAGAAAATTGGTAATAGGAAAAACAGTAATGGGACACAGATTGGTCACAGATGAGAGATTGTAAAAATTGTATGTAAAGTTTTACTTGGGTATTTACTTAAACTTTTTGTTTTTTTGTTTTTTTTTTTTGGAGACGGAGTCTCGCCCTGTCACCCAGGCTGGAGGGTAATCTTGGCTAACTGCAACCTCCGCCTCCAGGGATCATGATAAAGTTTCACCATGTTGGCCAAGCTGGTCTCAACCTCCTGGTGTCAAGTGATCTGCCTGCACTCAAACTGTTTATTTGAAGGGTCTATTTAACGTGCCAGGTCCAGTTCAAAATGATTCTCTCTTAGGTCTTCTTTAGTACTTCCCTCATAACAGACAATATTAATTGCTCTCTTATCTGTGTTTCTATGGCATTTTATACTTGTCTAATGAATATAAGCTTGTATAAATGGCATTTTAAACTATTGCAGACCTTATCTCATTACACTGCTCCTATTTGTGTGTTGAACTCCTGAGGATCTGATAAGTATTTTAGCTCAGGGTACATACTTAATAGATCTTTAAAACATGCAAATCTGATAGGCTATTTTCTCTTTATTGGATTCCCATGTTCTTAAGACAAAGCTCAATTACTTTAAAAGGTGGACAAGACATTTCATGAACTGGTCTATACTTATCTCTCTACCTTTCTTCATTCATACTCTATGATTCACCCATAATAAACTTATTTCAAATCCTCAAAAGACTCAAACTGTGTATCTCCTTTTGCAACTGAGTTTCACTCTGCCTGAAATTCTCCTACTCGGTTTTTAGCTGAGACATATATTTATCTGAGAAGTCTTCTGTGAGTGTTCTACACTTGGACACATCCCATCTGTCTTCTTCCATATCAACCAGTACTTTAAAGCAATACATATTATTGTTTAATATAAATACTCATTTAATTGGCTATTTTTCAATAGACTAGATTCTTCATAAGGGAGATATCATTTCTACTGAAAACAACATCTCTCAATACCCACACCAGTACCTGGCACACAGTAGTAGCTAAACAAACATTTGTTGAACAAATGAATTTAAAATGTTCATTGGAGTTAATTAGAATTTGTTGTCAACATTTATTGAGAACCAACTATGAGATACATACAGTCTTTCTAACTCTAGAACTTATCCTATTTTTTCCTGAAAACTGCTACTTTCCACTAATTATAAGGACAGCATATCAAAACCCATCTTAATAGTTCTTCCCCGTAAAGCTTCCATCACCACCAAAAAATACCATCCTCAACACGCCACACACATACACGTACCACCACTCCAACCTGCTTTTCATCCTTATTCCCCTACTTCATCACTTTCTCACTAAATCGGGCTTTAAAATCCCATCAATGTTTTTTTAACAGTTCTCTCAGATCTCATTAGCTACTAAGCCCAATAGATTTGACCCATGAAAGATATCTTGAATTCATCCTTTTCTTCCCAGTCCTACTGCTACTCTCATAGTTCAGGTTCTCATTACTTGTCACCTGATCTAATTCAATAGCCTCCCAGGGTGTCTCTTCACTTTTATTCTCTCTCTCTTCCAATCTGCTTTACACATTGCAGCCAGAGTAATTGACCCAAAGGTCAGTTCACTCCCCTACTCAAAAACCTTCAGTGACTCCCCATTTTTAACCAAAAAGAGCAGCAAATCCTCAGCCTGGTATTCAAAAGCCTATATAATCTGTCCTCAATTTATTTTATATTTTCCAGTCTTATTTTACAGTACTCCCCATCACTGGAGCCAAACTGGTTTTGTTTTCATTCCCAGAACTTGCCTTGCACTTTCTTACTTTTATGCTTTGCTCATGTTCTTTCTAAGTCTGACCTCTCTTCCTTCCTACAATCCTGCTGTCTTCTCTCACCTCTCTCTATAGGGAGCTTCAAGTCACACCATGTGGGTGTTTTACAAATTGAATGGATGGAAGTATGTAGTTAAGTAATTCACTTCTGAATATCTTGGTTAGAGTGTTTCCTAATATTTTTCTATTTCTTTAAAAAATTCTTCTCCTCCTTTCTTTGCTCCATATTCATTCTGTATTTTATTATTTCAATTTTGTTTAGGTTGATTATATGTTGTCTTTCTATTTCTCTTCACTCATATTTTCGGTTCTTTTTTATTGAATTTGTCAAGATGTAAAGAACTGAAGTCACTATATTATAAAAATTCTAAAACTGGTTTTCTTAAGCAAACAAATATATTTAAACTTTACTAGAAAATTCTATTCCCATGTTTTATAAGTTGAAGATATCAAAGGCATTTCAAAATCCAGTGAAATATATTTACTGGGAATAATGTTACACCCATACAGGGGACTGCAGTAATGCTTATAATATAGATTAGCCAATAAGCTCATCTCTCCAAACATTTGCCATTGTTCGCTTCCCATGTAGTTGTTTATGCATTCCCAAAAGAGAATATTGCAAAATATGAGTCATTAAATATTCTGCAAAATTTATGTTTACTTAACTTAAAATTTGGACAACTTTTTTAAAATTAAAGAGAACATCTACTTCTGGCCATGAGGTGGTAAGTGAATCAGATATGGCTTCCTGTTATAACAACTAGAAGACACAACAAAACACCTGAAATAACTATTTTCAGACATTAGATCACTGGTAGCCCAGAACTGTGATCACTGAAAAAAATAAATAAATCAATGAGGTACAGTCTATATAAAGGCACTATCCAGGATGGGGAACCAAAGCAAATCATGGTAGCATTACGAAGTCAAAGAGACAGAGATTATAGTTCAGCATAGGTTAATTGGCTGGGATTTGGAGGACAAAAGTATAAGGTGGAAGGAAACCACACAAATAAATAGCCCCATAATGCTTCTTGTAAGTCTCACATTTTTTGCCAGCTTCTAAGATGCACATGTGTTACCGTGAGATGTTTTGATGCAGGCAAAGAATTAATGGAGGAAAAAAAAACAACAACGACTATTATTGGGGATTGTGAACTGAGCAATTTCAAGAGGTCACACAGGACTGGGACAGATTTAAGTTTTAACCAGCCAGAATGAAGAGATCTCAATGAACATTCAGGATTTAGATAGAGACTCTGAATTGGACATGTTCTGTTAGCAATACTAAATTAGCACTAGAATAGAGTAAAAACCACACCACATCCATCATAACAAACTTAATAATAAACCTAAAAAATATTAAATTGGTGAACAGGACAATTTAATTACCTTCTAATATAATCTTCCAAACTCTTTAAAGAAAATAAAAAGTTCAGAAACTCAACAATATAATATTTATAATGTCTAGCATCCAGTAAAAAATTACTAGACATAAGAAGAAGAAAGAAAACATGACCAATAGTAAAGAGAAAGAATATTTTTAAAAAGACTCAAAATTGACATAGAGGATGGTATTAGCAGACAAGAACTTTAAAAGAGCCACTATACATGTATCCACAAATGTAAATGTAAACATGAATAGTAAGTGGAGAGCAATGAAAGAGCAAGAAAAGTAATTTATATCATTAACATGAAATATAATATCTAAAATGAAATAGTTACTGGACATGCAACAAATTAAACAGATCAAATATTATTAAAGACATAGCAAGGGAAACTGCGCAAAATGAGGTACAGAGAGAATAAAGCTGAAAAATAAACAAGGTCTAGGTGACTTTGGATTAATATTAAACAATGTATTTGAATAAATAATAACCAAATATTTAACAAATTTGATAAAGCCAACAAACTCACAGATACAAAAAACTAACCAAATTCCAAACAGAATAAAGACAAATAATTCTACATCAAGGTTTATCATAAACAAGATGCTAAAAGTAATTAATGGAGAGACTATTCTAAAATCATCAAGGATAAAAAGACACATTACAAACAGAGGAGTAAAGATAATAAGCACTACTGATATTTCAAGGAAACAATGCAAGTTAGAAAATAATTCAATATGACATCATTAGTGTGCTAAAAGGGGAAATAAACTTATCAACTTGGAATTTATAACTAATGAATATATATCATTCAAAAGTAAAAGCAAAATAAAAACATTTTTTAACCAAACATAGCTGAAATAATTACCTTTCAGTAGACATACACAACAACAACAACAAGATAAAAGAAGTTCTTTAAACTGAAGGAAAATTATCCAAACAGAAACTTAAATCCACACAGAGGGAATGGAGACTACCAGAAATATTAAATGTGAAATATAAAAAAAGTATTTTCTTTCTCATTTTAAATTACTTTAAAAGGTAATTACCTTTAAAAGGGAATTGTTAGTAATATATAGAGAAGTAAAATGCATGAAACGATAGCATAAAATAGAGGATTGGGGACTAGAAAGACTTGTGCATTATATGTGCAGTAGTATTTTATATATGGAGATGGACTCTAAGTTAAAGACAATAGTGCAGATAAAATAAAAAACTAAAAAATTAGCATTAATAAAGAAGGCAAGAAAAAATATAGAAAATGTGCAAAGAGTAGGAATACTAATAGAAAACAACAACATTGTAGACTTAACTTTAATCACATGAATAATTGAATTAAATGTAAATTGTCTAAACAAACTGAATTAAAAATTAAGACCCTATTTTATGATGTCCATAAGAAACTTGATTTAAATGCAAAAACACAGGTTAAATGAAAAGTAAGAAAAAATGTGTAAGATAAAAACACTAATTATGAAAGAGCTAGAGTAGCCATATTAGTATCAGACAAAGTAGAATTTAGAAAAAGAAATACTTTCAGTGATAAAGAAACATACTATATAAGGACAAAACATTAGTTCATCCAAAAGATATAACACTAAATATGTACGCACCTATGGTAACCAGTCTCTAAGACAGCCTTCAATGACCTCCACTTCCTGAAATTCATATTCTTTTGAGTCCATTCTAACATTGTACTAGAGATGGTATGTGTAATAAAAATGTAAGTCAGACATGTCAATTCTGATATTAGGTTATAGAAATATTTTTTGAAAATCTTCAAATTATTAAATTAAAAAATTCTAAATATTCCTGAGAAAATAAGAGAGTATTTAAAACTAAATGAAAGAAAAAAATAATATTAATAATTTGTGGGAGTTAGGTAAAGCAATACTTACAGGATAATTTATAAATTTAAATGCTCATTTTTACAAAGATGTTTAAAATCAATGAGTTAATCTTTTATATTAAGAAGCTAGAGGAAAAAAGCAAACACAAGGTAAATAAGAGAAAGTAGAAATAAATAGAAAGAGTGGACATTCAAGGACATAAAAAACAGAGAAACAATAGAGAACACCAATTCATCCAGTACGTCTTTTAAATGATCCATAAAAATCAATAAAAAGGATACACAAGTAGCTAGACTAAAATAAAGGAGAAAACAAAAATGATGCATATTAGGAATGTAATAGAAGATATCACTATAGATACTACAGAAATCATAAACATAACAAGTAATATTATGAACAATTTTGCATGAAGAAATTTGGTAACAACAAACTTGACAAATTCTTTCTAAGGTAGAAACTAAAATAGGAAGACTTTAAAAATTGGAATAGCTTTATACCTGTTAAATAAATTAAATTTGCAATTTAAAATATGTCATATAATAATGCAAAGCTCAGAAGACTTTACTGCTCCATTTTATTAGATATTTAAATAAGAAATTAAGTAATTTTAAACTAAATCTTTCACAAAAGTAGGAAGTGAACACCTTTCAACTCAGTTTATGAAGTTGGCATTACCCTGATAGCAAAATCAAACCAAAACACAAAACCCAAACCAAAGCAAAAAGAGACAAAAAAAAAAAAAAAACAATAAATCCTGAACAAAATAATAGCTAATGGAATCCAGCCTAATGGTGAAAGAAATATATACATCCTAACCTAGTAGAATTAATTCCAAGCATGTAACTTAGTTTTTCCTTCAAATATCTATTAGTGAAAATCACCAAATTACAAAAAAGAAAAAGCTATAATCTAATCATTGTAAAAAATGTGTTTGATAATATTTGACATCCATTGATTAAAAACTTGGTATACTAGAAACAGAAATTAGCTCTTTAAACTCAGTGAAAAACATCTATTGAAAACCTACATTTACTTTTATAATTAATTCTAAAACAAAGAATGTGTCTCCATTAATATCAGAAACAAGGTAAGGATGCCTGCTCTTACCTCATCATGGTATTAGGGAAGCTTGCTGGTTAAATAAGGCAAGAAAAATATATAAGTCACATATATTCACAAGGAGAAGCAAAACTGCCTTAATTTAGAAATTACATGATGATTTATTTCTATGACCACATAATCTAGGGGGATAAAACATAACTCAAAAGTAAATTTATCAAGGTCATGGGATACAAAATGAATACAGAATTCAATTGGATTTCTATATACTAGAAATAAACAACTGAAAAATTAATCTCAAAAATATAATTTACAATAGCACTAAAAACATAAAATATTTCATTATAATTTTTTCAAAATACTTAGAAGACCTGTAAATTTATAGTTAGAAAATACTGTTGAGAGAAATTAAAGATATTACTAGATAGTTAAATAATGTTTATGAATTGAAAGACAATACAATTAGCATTGAAGTTCTCCTCAAATTGTCCTGCAAGTTCAGTGCAATCCTAGTCATAATTCCAGTAGTCTTTTTTTTTTTTTTGTAGTATTGGAAAAGCTGATTTCAAATTTATTAGGAAAAGCAAAGAATCTCAAATAGAAAAAAAAAAAGGTGTTCTTAGAGTTAAAGTAATTGACATAGCGTGTTAATGGTTAGGATAAGTAGGTAGTTCAATTTGAAAAAAAAAAAAGCTCAAAACAGACCCACAATTATCCAATCAACTGATTGTTGAAAAAGTTGTCAAATCAGTTCAAGGCGTGATGGCTCACTCCTGCAGTCCTAGCACTTTGGAAGGCCAACGCAGGAGCCCAGGAGTTTGAGATCAGCCTGGGCAACATAGGGAGACTCTGTCTCTAAAAAAAATTTAAAAGATATGTATTAGCCGGGCGTAATACATACGTGGTTCAGGCCTATAGTCCCAGCTTCAAGAGGCTGAGGTGGAAGAATCTCATGAGCCTGGGAGGTCCAGGCTGCGGTGAGCTGTGTTCACACCACTGCACTCCAGTCTGGGTGACAGAGTGAGACCCTGTATCAAGTAATAATAATAATAATAATTAATAATAATGATTCAGAGAATATTTTAAAACAAATATTGATAAAGCAAATAAATATATAGAAATAAAAATATATCAGCTCTTTTACCAAATGAAAAATTAATTTGACATGAATTACATACCTAAATACAAAAATTAAAACTATTAGACTCTAGAATAAATATGGAAGAAATCTTTTGATATTTGAGTAGAAAAAAATTTTATAAAGGGCATGAACAGCATTAACCACACAAAATTAGTAAATTGAACTTCACAAAATTTTTAAAATCTGCTCTTCACAAAAATGTCTTAGAAAATGAAAGGCAAGCCAAAGAGTGGGAGAGTATATTTATTTTTTATATCACATTGTGAATTGGCAATTTATAATTACATAAAGTTGTGGGGTACATAGTGATGTTATGATATATGCATACAATGAGATGATTCCGTCAAGCTAATTAACGTACTATCACTTCAAATACCTATCTTTTTTGTGGTGAAAACATTTGAAATTTACTTTCTTAGCAATTTTGAAATATACAATACATTATTGTTAACTACAGTCCCCATGCTGTGCAATAGATCTCAAAAAACTTTATTTCTCCTCTCTAAGTGAAACTCTGTACCCTTTAATCAGCATCTCTCCATTCCCTCTACTTCCCCGGCTTCCCATAACCACCATTCCACTCTCTGCTTCTGAGTTCAATTGTTTTAGATTCTACATGTGACATCACGCAGTATTTGTCCTTCTGTCCCTGGCTTACTTCACTTAGCATAATGTCTGGGAGTGTATATTTTTAATACATACATCTGACAAAGAGTTTGTGTCCAGAATATACATTTAAAAAAATACTTTACAACTCAATAATTTTAAAAAAAATACTATTTAAAAATAAACTAAACGTTTGAACAGATGCTCACAAAAGAATACAAATGTCAAATAAGCATATGGAAAGATATTCATCATATTTAGTCATCTGAGAAATGCAAATTAAACCACATTGAGATAGCCCTACATACCCATTATAGTGGCTAAATTAAAATGACCTGACAATCTCAAGTTTTGGCAAGGATGGAGAACAATGAGAACTCTCATACATAGCAGCTCCCAGTGTAAATAATACAGCAACTTTGGACACTTTCTTGTAAAGTTAAATGTATATGTACCATATAACTCAGGAATTGCATTCCTGGCTATTTACTATAAAACCTAAAACCTAAGCCCACAAAAAGACACGTACAAAAGTGTTCATAGCATATTTGTTCAAATTGCCCCACATTGGAAACAATTTAAACACCCATCAAAAAGTGAATGCATTATTAAATGTTGACTTATTAATATATTCATATAAGGAGATATTACTCAGTGATAAAAATAAATAAAATATAAGATTAGCCACTACTCTTGGATGAGTCTAAACAAACAAACAAAAAAACAAACTAAGCTAATCAAAAGAAGCCAGACATGAAAGAATGCACACAGTATGGTTCCCTGAGATGAAATTCCAAAATAAGCAAAATAATCTATGGCAACTCAAATTAGATCAGTGGTTGCTGAGAGCCAGGGGTTGAATGAGGGTGATTGGCTGCAAAAGAGAATGAAGGAACTTTTCCGGGTGATAGGAACACTCTATTCTTCGGTTGTGGTGGTGTGAATATGGGTGTGTCCATTTTCCAAAGTTGCTTAGGCCGGTGCTTTTCAATCTCCTTCTGTGGCCCTGTATTTCCCTTTCCATCTGCATTAGCTGGTGACTAGAACTGATGGAGAGATATAATAGCATTATTCACATTTTCTTGTAGATATTCATAAAGAAAAAGCATAATGAACATTCAATAAACATTTGTCAATTCATTTTGAAATGCAAGTATGTTCCTCCTATTAAATAAAGTAATTCTCTGTGCCTTTCCTTGAGGGGAGAATGACTAACACAACCAGGAAAATCTTCATTCAAACCCATGATGGTTGTGGTAATATTACCAAAAATAGTTTTGACCAAAACTGCTCTTAATTAGACATAACTGATCAACAAAAGCAGAACAGGATTTTTGTTTACTTCAGAAAAGATGATCAGCAAACCTGAGTTATTTGCTTTTAAAAATTCCAGTTAATTGAGTGTTAGCGATAATTAAAATGTTTCCTCTTCTATTATTTTGTTTTGTTTATAAAATGTAACAATATAAATTATTTTATTTATTTAATCACTTCAAACTACATTTGGATCTGCCACATTATGATTCTTTTAATTACATGGGTAATTAAGAAGATTAATGTGAATTTGAAACAGAAAGAACTAGCAGGGGTGCAGGACCAAAATCCAACCCACCCTAGAGTCTTTGCTGTTCAAAGACTTTCTTTGCTATTCAACTGGCAAAATACAGCTACATCCCATTCACTATTAGTATCAGAATTATGCCTGAGAAAAGGAGACCCTTTAAAGAGGATGTGTTTCAGTTTCAGCTTTGACAACAGCATTCTTGGCCTTTCAGATGCCATTATACCCTTTAACACTCTTCATTTCCACCTTACCTCTGTAATCACCTCACAAGGGAACATAATGCCACAACTACATCACAGGAGATATGGAATTCTATTATGAGCATGTATTCAAAATTAACTCTGACTGCATCTTTGTTTTAATCAGTAAGTTCTTGATAAACTTGATTTGGAAATGCATATCCATATAAACTAGGTTTGCTCTTATTTCTTCTCATTTTTGTCCACCATACTCATAAGAAAATACTACCACGGTATGAATAACACTTTCAGTATTTCTTTGTGAGGAATATCTCAATTTCATTTTACTATTCATGCAATGTTTTTATGTGGAACTTGATAGATGGAGAACATGCATATTGAAGAAATCATTTTTTACACCATATAAAAAATGCAATATGATTATAAATTAGTTGCTCATTTTTATGTGGATGATATGTACATAATACTGTATATATGTCATATACACACATGTACTTTTAATCATAACATTTTATTTTTATGAAAAATTAATATAATATGGTAATTTATGTGTTTTTCTTAAGAAGAGACACCATAATGCCAAAAGTAAACATACTCCTGAGGAAAACATAGCAATGTGAAGGAATTGAGAAGTATGAAAAATGAAGAGAGGTAGGAACAATATTTATATATCAAAAAAGAGAAGAATTCGATTGTGAGACAACCGTCCATGGGCTTTTGTGTTTGGGCATGTCTTGTGAATAGAGACACTGTCTGCCTTTATTCCAGACTATCTCAAGAATGTTTGTAAGATGAACAACCTTTGAAAAGAGAGATAGCATCTTTCTCTGGAGCAAAGGGCTGGTTTGTTTACTGTCCATTGCCATAAAAATAGTGTCTCCCTCTGGAGCAAGATCAGGTACACTTACTTCCCATTAAAAAAGATATGAGCTCTGCTAGCTCAGGATTTCTCTCCTGTAATGCTCCCAACTGCATGTCCAGGTATCATCTGACTCTCTTTTGGTTACTCTGGAAAATGGAACTTGGGTAGTTGGCATAAATACTGATACTCTAGCTACTGCTGTTGCTGTGCATGCATGATAAACTGTCCTTTTTCTCTGGATCAAATTTCAAATTTATTTGAAGGATCATAGACTTCTTCAATGCCAGAAGGGATTCCTGAATCTTTGTTTTTTGTAAAGTTCCCTTAGCATGAGAAAAGTAAGAAGCTGAAATACTAATTAAAGATAAAATAATAAAATCCAGACCAGAACTGAAGCAGTTATATTTTTGCCTTATGAAGTTGAAATTCCCATAGAGAAGGACCTGGTGAATAGAAGCAAATGGGTTCCTTATTTCTCTTCAAGAAAACCCCACCCCAAGTAGAGTAGTTCAGGCACAGATGAGACACCTATTTGCTCTCCATTACTGGCCAGTTACAGGCAAATCAATGTTACCGTTCAGCCACCCAGCCTCTTGTGTTTTGTGTTCCCCAGTAAAAGAGTGGCAAATTTAGTGACTCCAGTAAGTTTATCCAAATACCCCATTTGATAATTTGTGACAGTGCCACTTTTGCATCATCTGGCAGTGGGTGGCTGTGGGGTACTTAATTGATGAACATTCCCTCCACACATGACCAGTGCAAATATCGTGGAGCATGTCTGCTTTTCAAGTCCAGGTTTTCGTAAAAGAGCTAGGAGAGTACAAACCAAATTCACTTATGAAGCATCAGCAGAGGGATAGGTAGCAGAGAGTAAGATGAGAAATAAATATCTGGGGCACTTTTTGTGGAGCTATAAAATATTTATCAACCAGCAGGAAAATTCTTATGTAGATGAACTTATTTACATGTTATTCACAACTAACCACTCCCTTCCTCCACCGCCACCACCACCTTTAAGAAATAGGATTTTGGCCGGGCGCGGTGGCTCACGCCTGTAATCCCAGCACTTTGGGAGGCCGAGACGGGCGGATCACGAGGTCAGGAGATCGAGACCATCCTGGCTAACACGGTGAAACCCCGTCTCTACTGAAAATACAAAAAATTAGCCGGGCGAGGTGGCGGGCGCCTGTAGTCCCAGCTACTCGGGAGGCTGAGGCAGGAGAATGGCGTGAACCCCAGGGGGCGGAGGCTGCAGTGAGCCGAGATTGCGCCACTGCACTCCAGCCTGGGCGACAGCGAGACTCCGTCTCAAAAAAAAAAAAAAAAAAAAAAAAAAAAGAAATAGGATTTTCTTTGACTGGGTGAGTTCTTTGGATATTTTTTTGTCGTGGAGAATTTGTATAATGTAATGACTCTGAAGGGGGGCAACCCGTAAAGATGAAATTGATCTGTATAATCTACATAATAGAGTGAGTGGGTAGGAAGTTACTGTTACAGCTGCATTGGGCTGGATGGTGCGCCAGTCAAAACTTAGAGACAGAAAGGTTTCTCTTCCTTCCTTCCTTCCTTCCTTCCTTCCTTCCTTCCTTCCTTCCTTCCTTCCTTCCTTCCTTTCTTTCTTTCTTTCTTTCTTTCTTTCTTTCTTTCTTTCTTTCTTTCTTCTTTTTTTTGACACAGTCTCACTCTGTCACCCAGGCTGGAGTGCAGTGGCACTATCTCATCTCACTGCAACCTCTGCCTCCCGGGTTCAAGCAATTCTTCTGCCTCAGCCTCCCAAGTAGCTGGGACTACAGGTGCAAGCCACCACAGCCAGCTAATTTTTGCATTTTTTGTGGAGACAGGGTTTCACCATATTGGCCAGGCTGGTCTCTAACTCCTGACCTTGTGATCTGTCTGCCTCGGCCTCCCAAAGTGCTGGGATTACAGGCATGAGCCACCACACCCGGCCAATAGAAAGGTTTCTGAGAGCAGTTGGCATACCTGTGAAGTAAATTAATAGGGGAAGCAACAAGGAGAGAAAATTTTCTATACCTTTACCAAATGTCAATAATTCATTTTTCCCTTTGCCATTTGGAGACACAGAATGAAGATTTTAAATAATTATTTTTAGGTTTTTGGTTATTGGATCCTTTCCCTTTATACAGCATTATGCCAAGACTGAAGCTTTAGTCAGGTTAGATTTGTTTAAGATATCTTTTTTCTTTAGTTCTTAATTAAAAAAAAATGAAACCTGAAGCGAGAAGGCTTTTTGGCCCTCCATCAATATGAATATATTTTCTACAATAATAGCTTCATTAAGAGCTAACACCTGAATAGAGAATCATTAAAAGACAGTCAGCCACAGTGAAAGCTAGAGAAGGTATTATGAAAAAAGACTGCCTGCTCTTTAGTTTGTCTTCTTTCTCATTTTTTTGGGGGGCCCAGTTATTTATATCAGCTATTATGGAAACAAAAAATGAAGTATTCTGTCAGCAATTCAAAGTAACAATCTTTTACCATTTGATATTAATCTTGAAGATAGTCCATAATCTTCCCACCCGTGTTAGAATAAATGAGACTTTCAGCCCATTTTAATGCTGAATAAAGCAAGATTTTAAAAAGTAGACTAAATCATATGAGTGATATTAGTGTAAACCTTGGAATTTGAAACTCAACGTTGTCTCTGAACTCATGGAAAATTTAACCTCCTGTTAATAACATTTAATTGACAACTCTGTAACACTATTATGAGTATGTGTGTGCAATTATATTTAATCTACTATTAAATTCTAACTTATGAATACAGAAGTAACCCCTATTTGAAATGTTAATGATGCTGTTTGTGATATATTATGATATATATGGTTCTGAAAAGTTAAATAAGTGTCATTCAAGATGTCACACATAAATATAGAAATGAATCTAAATGTACAGTGTTTTTTATCACAAACTAAATTACAAATATATTAAAAGCAGATTTTTAAATATTGCCTTCTAGAATAAAATATGCATATATTACCTGTGTTTACTATTGTTCCAGGTATATGAATTAATAATTATAAGACACACAGTATCTGGTTATTTGTACTATGTAACAGAAACCTGCCATATTAATTGTTTCTTTTAGAAATACAGATAATTGTAATCCAGTGATTGCCTTTGTTCCAAGCAATGGATTTTAATTACATTTAGAAAATGTAATTAATAATAATTATATTATTACAACTGCACAATATTAATTACAATTACATTATAATAAAGAACTCTAATTCCATTTGGAAAAAATAGAAGTGGTTTTGAAGCTCAAGGCATTCTTTCAAATTCTGTTTTTTTTAATTATTGCTATTCTTTTTAGAATAAGTATTTTCTCTTTTTACCAGTTTGACCTCATGATGCCCTGAGTATATTGTATTTTTGAATCAGTATTCAGCCTGAACAGATAAAAGAATAATTAAATCAGTCATAAAACCAGTTTGGATAAGTTATTTTTTGCATGATTGTTAAAAGGTGGGAAGGGTTACTGTTAAAAATTTTTGAATTGATGTATTTGATTGAATTGGCCAATTACAATAGTGCAGGTGACAGACAATGTTTTGGTCTCCAAGTATAGTAAAAGTAAGTCAATTTATTTGACAATGGGATCTAAGTTCTTAGGACACTATTTTCATGAATCAGTTTGATTTTGGATTGTGTTTGAGGTTTTCTCCAGATTTATAACTTATAAATCAAAATTAAAATCTTTGGGGACAGTTGCTTTTTGGCCTTTGGCTAAGATCAAGTGTAAAATCTTTGGGGATAAATTTTTTAAAACCCGTATAAGAGATATATGCTAATTTTCACCCAATCTCTGGAATGTTTAGTTAGTTCTGTGTCACCCTTAGTTCTTAAAACTGTTTCACAGAATATCCAGATACCAGATTATCATTTTCTGATAGCTTATTTATAGTTCTCTAAACTCATAGAAATCACCCATATGATTTTGTCTACTTTTTAAAATCTCGCTTTATTCAGCATTAAAATGGGCTGAAAGTTTCATTTATTCTAACATGGGTGGGAAGGTTATGGACTATGAGTTCTAACTATTGGAAGTATCCTTGGACTCCAGCAAGGAATGGAGTAATACTGCGTTAGAAAAAGTAAAAGGACTTTGCCTTTATGCTTGTCAATCTCTGTCTTGGTGTTGTAACGAGAGTTCTTCGTGGCACAGAAGCCAGATGTGCATGCTAACTATCCCGCCAGGTTATGGGACAGTACTAATATGTACCCAAGAAACTTCTAAACTAACAACAACAAAAAAAAAAACTTATACAAAAGTGAAAAAATTAATAATACTTTGATTTAGTAGTGATTTGCTTGTTTGTTTGTTTGTTTGTTTGTCTGTTTGTTTTTGCGATGGAGTCTCACTCTGTTGCCAGGCTGGAGTGCATGGAGTACAGTGGCGCAATCTCAGCTCACTGCAACCTCCCCCTCCCAGGTTCAAGTGATTCTCCTGCCTCAGCCTCCCAAGTAACTGGGACTACAGGCGCATGCTACCATGCCCAGCTAATTTTTGTATTTTTAGTAGAGATTGGGTTTCACCATGTTGGCCAGGATGGTCTCGATCTCTTGACCTCATGATCCGCCCGCCTTGGCCTCCCAAAGTGCTGGGATTACAGGTGTGAGCCACCGTGCCCGGCCGTGATTTACATTTTTAACTAGTACTCTAGTTGATCATGAGACATGAAGTTCCTTGATTGTACTTCCAGAATTACTGATCAAAGTGTTAAAGCTGTCAGAATAAACTAGAATAAATGAAGATGTAATAGAAGAGAGAAACATGATATCAAAACATACCCTTATAGAAAAAGTATTTAGGTATATATAAAAATTCAGATTTTGAGACAAGAATAACCAAATGTTGAGGATTCCAGGGTTTCTCTTTGTTAATTGGATTTATAACCACCAAGATATCACCTTAGATTCTTATGAGAGGAAAGATATTTCAGAAATTTGAGATATGTATTGACTAGAAACCAGTTTGTCTCAACAGTGACACAGGTAGTCATATGATCTGAACATATTTCAAATACTCTTTTGACTTTAGCACTATTGTTACAGAACTTTCTTGTTTTGCTAAGAAATGAATAAGTCAACCAATACTGGGATATGAAGATGTTGATTAAAACATAGTGTATGTACAAGAAAATGATCCGGCTGTGATTATGTGGGCTCCACTGATTGCCAAGGTTGTTGGCCAATTTTAACTAGCTAGACAGATGCCCTCTTTATCCACACTGCCCTCTTAGGAAAATTTTCTGAGTTAAACTTCAGAGAGAGTTAATCTCTAACAATCAGGTAAATGATTAGTAAAATGTTTAATATTTGACCAAAAAGGAGTAAGTCGTTAGGTATCTCTATTAGATTTCTTGGGCAGAAGTGGCTGCATAATTTGTAGGGCCTAGTGTAAAATGAAAATGCAGGGTTTCTTATTCATCAATTTTAAGAATTTTAAGAGTACAGTAAGAGCAGAAGATAGAACCAAGTACAAAGCCCTTCTGAGTGGGGGTTCTCTCTGCTATTACATGTGTCACACACCCTGCCTCCAAGTGTCTCTGAGTCATGAATATAGAGAATTCTTGGGGTTTTGGAAAGATGGCTCAGTTACTATGTTAAAAAATAGTGATATAGATGAAGATGATGCATCCAAGATCCAATTGGGGAAGTAATGATAATTATGTGGTTACATACATACTCTGATGGCTAGTGACATGTTACATATATTTACTGTGTAAGGGGAATGTTGGGTGGTTTAATAGATACAGTTAATTGAAATGATCCTGCATAGTCTGTAGCATGCACTCTGACTAGTTTCTACAACTAATTTAGAATTCAGCAGAATAATGTGAAGTCTTTTACTACTTAATTAAACTTCTGTAATGCCTGTTTTACCAAGATGAATAAAATACATAAATTGCATGAGGTGACATCTAATGCACACAAAAAAGAGAAATGTAAAAATCAGAACAGTGGGTACATTAAACTGATTCTTAATAATTGAAACCAATTTAATCATTTGAGATTATTTTATTCTAGCTGACGTAATACTGTAGCAGTTATATTCTAATTATAACCTGTTTCATTTTACTCTGCCTTTCTAGTTAATTATTACAGTCAATTTGTAAAATGACATGGTTCTACATTTGCATAGGTCACTATTAAATAAATGAATAGCTGAAATTACTCTAACATTGAAGTGTCAACTTTGGTAGAAGTCAAGAGGACTTCAAGTGTTCTTCTAACACCCCTTAATGTGTTAATGACCACTATTAAACTGCAATTAAAAGGCCAGGAAAAATGCATGAAACAGTTAATAGAAAAATAGCACAGACACAATTAAAACGATTCTGGATTTTTTTTTTTTTTTGACGGATAGAAAATAAAGTGATATTCTGTAAAAAGTGTAGTGTGAATCTTTTTCCAACTCAAGGCAGAGTTGACAGTTTAATGATAACAAATCATAGGCTGCCTTTTTTGGGAGCATCGAATGTCAGCTTAAAATTAACATCAGTAGTAAACAAGACAATGTGGTGATTTTACCTTGTATTTAAATTACTACTTACTATGGTACTAAATAATAGCTGTAAATAACTTGGTGTCCAGATTACTGATATATAGTGTATCTTTGTGAAAAAAAGAGGGACAGTATTGAAAGATATGTTTAAGATTTTGTCATTCTAAATAAAGGATAAACGTACATCTTCACTGTGCAGTCTTGTTAGAGTTGCCTGTGAAATCTTTTGCTGAATTGGTTATACATTGAAACCCTAACACTATTATTAGAGTGCTTCATTCACCAAAGTAATGAGTTATGATGATCAGCACAAGCTATATTCCAAGTATTAGGGATTTTGTTTTATTCAAGAATACACCAGAAAAATTCTTTTAAAATCTTAATTAAAATTATACATGACCATTTAACTTGCAAAAATATTTCAAAACCTTAAGGGTAAATGCTTTTACAAAGGATACTTTTACAAAGTATAATTTTGGTTAAGTTTTCACCAATTTACCCAGAGTTTTTTCTTCTTGCTCTGGAGTCTTCACAATTGTGAAATTCATCTAGAAATTTCTTATCAGATGCTTTTTACTGAGTACCAGACATGGATGCACCAAATGTTTGTGTTAAAGACTGCCTTTGTACATTGACCTATGAGTATGATGGCTAACTATAGTTGGGAATACCAAAGAACAAAGAAGCCAGGCACCATAACAGTTACCAGGGTATTTATGTCTTTTTTCCATGGGTACATTAATACCACAACCATAACTAGATTTTTGCTTTGAAGTATCTATGTTGTCTTGCTTCTACACTTAAATTTGTATATAAAATTGATTATAATTCAGGTAGGCATATGTTCATTATAAATTCACGTCTAATAGTGGGTCCTTGATAATGGCAACCTAGTCGGTTCTGATTATTGTTCTTGATGATTGGTGAAATATGACGTTAGTGGTATGCTTTGAGTGTATAATATTTATATACTTTTAATATCAACTACATAAAAACATCACTTGATCCATGTCTAAAATCTAACCAGTGGGGAAAATTGCACAAAGTACTCAGTATCATAGAAATACTTTATAGTAGCCTAAGAGAGAAATAAAATATCAATTTTATTATTGCAGCCCAAAGTTAGAAGTTCTTTAGAGGCACCAAGATCAGGTTCTGCATTGGGGAGCACAGTCAATACGCCATTGTATAGGTTCCTTCTATGCCTGATCACCAGAAGTGGTTAGAAGAACATTTATCAATAGCATGTCACTCAGTATATGAATTAAACATTTGGGAGTGAATATTTCAAGTGTTACAACCCCCTCTTTTAAGAGGTCATGGGAAAATGGATTGGGGTAATTATCGCCTAGTCCCAGAGGGTATTTTAAAAAGAAAATTTATTTTTAGTTTACATTACTATTTCAATATCCACTACATAAATTCTGTTGTCTCTTATTCTTAAAAAATTTTATTGACAATTCCTTTTTAAAAATTTATTTTCTTACATTATAAGCTACCCTTAACAGTAAGGCATTTTTCTTGTAATTTTTGTCAAAAAAATAAAAGGAGAAAGAACCATGTAGTAGTTATGTCTATGATTACAACCTGGCACATTTGAATCGGTGAAATAGAAGTGCCTATTTGAATGTCAGTCTCTCCATGTACATAAAATGGCAACTGCAATAAAGTTATGCTATTTTCTGTGTCTCCATCTCAGAAGCTTTTTTCAAAGTTGTTTAACCAATTCCATAAATGGCTCTCAGTTCTATGTGTCATATTTTGCATTCACAAAGTGAAGATAGACGTAACTGTTACTTAGATACCTTTTTTTTTTGTAATGCATGTACTAGATCATAACAAAAAAAGGAGATCCAGGAGGTAGTGGTCACATTGCAGGTTCCCTGAGTGTTCCTTATGGAAGAGGTGATAGAGGAAAGGGGACATGATTCCTTCCTCATGCTTAGAACTTAAGAACCAAAAACATAACACATATGGGGAAAGCATCAATTAAAGCCATTATAGAAACATTAGCTAACAATCCAGATAAACAGGGAAAGTTCTAATAAATCTGACACTTTTCAGGACAAATTATGACCATCGCATAACTCCATCCACAGCAACATTATTTGTGCTGCACACAATTACTGTAGTTAAAATGTGAATTCCGCTAGGCTTAAAACATAGTTCTAAAAGTGTTGGGGCAAGGGAAAAAGTATGCCATCAAATTGTCTCTATTCCAAAAGAAAAGAAAGTCTTCTCTGTAATGTGGGAAAGGTGTGGAGTTTGTGATGTGGAATACAAGGCAAAGGGTTGCTCCAATCTATGACCTTTGCGCTGCTTGTAGAAAAACAGATCATGGTCTGACTGTAAACATGGATGATAGTAGTATCTGGACTTTTTTGTACCAATTGGAATAGTCAGACCTCATCAGATAAGTAGGGTCAGGTTTGAGAAATCAAAGGCGAAACAAAAGCAGAAAAGAAGCACTCAGATCAACATAGAGGAAATAAGAATCAGGATGGTAAACCAACACCAGAAAAGCCAGAAGTGCCATTCCTCAGAGTCCATCATTATATTACAGAGGGTGGCAGGAGCACTGAAGTATCTAATCCCCCAGCCCTGCCCCACCCGGAGTCTTTCTTACACCTAACCATGCCTTGAAAAAAAAAAAAAAGACTCTCTCAGTACTGCACCTCACACCCAACATGGTTTTGTTTATCCTAGAAATATCCCAGACTTTGTACCACCACAGGACTAAGGCAACAAATCCGTGCCTGTATTAAAAGTCTGCAGGGACAAACAACAAGCTACCTGAAAGAAAAAATAGCCAAGAAGGCAATCACATTTATAACAGCTACAAAGGAGATAAAATACCTGGAAATAAATTTAACCAAGGATGTGAAAGACCTCTACGAGAAACACTGCAAGAGATGGATAAAAGAAATTGAAGAGGATACAAACAACTGGAAAGACATCCCATGATCCTGGATCAGAAGAATATTGTTAAAATGACCATACTGCCCAAAGCAGTCTACAGATGGAATGCAATCTCTATTAAAACACCAATGACATTCTTTATAGAAATAGAAAAAAACAGAAAACTAAAATGTGTATGGAACTACAAAAGACCCCAAATAGCCAAAGCAATTCTAAACAAAAAAGAACGAAGCTGGAGATATCACACTACCAGACTTCAAAATATGCTATAAAGGTGAAGTAACCAAAACAGCATGGCACTGATGTAAAAATAGACACATAGACCAATAGAACAAAATGCAGAATCCAGAAATTAATAAACGTATCTATAGTCAATGATACTGATTTTTGACAAGGGCACCAGGAACACTCAGTAGGAAAAATATAGTCTCTTTTAATAAATGATGCGGAGCAAACTGGATATTCATATGCAGAAGAATGAAACTAAATGAATATTGGGATCAATCGGACAAGGGGCTCTTTTTACTTAAGCAACTGAGAGTGTCATCTCGACTCTAAGTGAAAATTAAATGTACCAAAAAAAACACAAATTAAAAAATTGCAAAATAAATGTGTTATTAAAGTTCAGAGGAAGAAAATATTACTTCTAGTTAGTTGAAATCCAAGTTTTAAATAAGTTGATTGTTTATGGAGAGACTGAGCTTGGACACACCCAAGTTGAGAGAAGAACAACATGTAAAGTGGTGGACCTAGTAGGGACAATGGCAAAGAACTGAAAGTTCTATTTTGCGGCAGTCAAAGGATATGTACCTGACTCCCCCTGTGTATTAGCTAAGAAAAATAGATTATGGAAAGCATTTTGGAGGCGGGGGGACAAGGTCTTGCTCTGTTGCCCAGGCTGGAGTGCAGTGGCACAATCTCAGCTCATTGCAACCACCACCTCCCAGGTTCAAGCAATTCTCATGTCTCAGCCTCCCAAGTAGCTGGGATTACAGGCGCGTGCCACCACGCCTGGCTGGAACGTATTTTTTAAATGAACTTCAGTTGACAGGCATGGAGGGAACTCAAGTTGCATGCTGGGAAGATGCATTTCCGTAGTGGAGAAGACTAGCGACAAAAAGAAGTTAAGAAGGCTCTTGTATGTTAGGTGTTTGCATATATACCCACAATTATACAAAGCATGAATTTGAAAATTGAGTATATTACAAAAATTAGCCAGACGTGGTGGCTCGTGCCTGTAATCCCAGCTACCCTGGAGGCTGAGGCAGGAGAATAGCAGGAACCCGGGAGGCAGAGGTTGCAGTGAGCCGAGATCGCGTCACAGCACTACAGCCTGGGTGACAGAGTGAGACTCCGTTTCAATATTTTTTTCTTTTTATGAGATTCAGTATAATTGAGTATATTATTAGTGTACTCATTTTAGGAGAACATTTTTATGAATTTCCTTTGGAGACGCAAAGATTAGAATATTCTTCTTCTGTAGCTGGCTGTTTAGAAACTGCCCTCATATTGTCCTGGTGGCCTCAGCATCTTCAAGTAGCTTCTTGTATAAAATTGTCACTCGTTGCCGGATGCAGTGGCTCACGCCTGTAATCCCAGCACTTTGGGAGGCCGAGGCGGGCGGATCACGAGGTCAGGAGATCGGGACCATCTTGGCTAAAGCGGTGAAACCCCGTCTCTACTAAAAATACAAAAATTAGCTGGGCGTGTTGGCGGGCGCCTTTAATCTCAGCTACTCCGGAGGCTGAGGCAGGAGAACGGTGTGAACCCGGGAGGCGGAGCTTGCAGTGAGCCGAAATCGCGTCACTGCACTCCAGCCTGGGCGACAGAGCGAGACTCCGTCTCAAGAATAAATAAATAAATAAATAAATAAATAAATAAATAAATAAATAAATAATCACTCAGTATACGCGGGGGATTGGTTACAGGACCCCTGCGTATGCCCAAATCCGGGTATCCTCAAGTCCTGCAGTCCACCCTGTGGAACTCACAGATAATAAAAGGCGGCCCTCCGCCTATACGCAGGTTTCTCATCCTGATCAATTTGGTTGAAAAAAAATCAACATGTAAGTGAACCCACGCAGTTCAAACTCACATGTTGTTCAAGGGTCAACTCAAAATAGTTTAGTTGATTTTCCAAAATTAAGTCAGTTACTTTTTTTCTGTGGATGTCTTAGCTAATTTTAGCAATTGCTTTCATCATATTCAAAATACCTTATTTTCAAATAGTGAAATATTATAATAAGTGTAGTTATCAAAACAGTTCAGTTATTTTGCTATTCAAATATTTTCCTAAATTTTTGTTTTAATTTCAAGGAATTGCCATAGTGAGTATTCAGAATAATTTTTTAAATTGGAATTCAGTGACCTTTGAAAATGTTTGATAGATACAGGAGATAGTTATAATGTTTGGAATAATAGGAATAAAAAGAACAATATGAAAGGTTGAGTAGGTCAGAAGAATGAAATTTAAAAGGACACAGAGATGTTTATATACAGACAAAGCAAAAGGAGAGAAAACTTCCTGACATGCTTCTCAAAACCCTTCTAGTGTAGGAGTCACCATTTTCTAGGCTGAAGAAGAAAAAGAGTCAAATCACTTAATTGAATCAATTTAAAATAGTTTTCATTGTAAGGCCAATTGAAAATATAACTCAGGAGAATAAAATAGAGAAAAAAAGGCCATAAGAAGAGGCACAAGATACAGAAAAGATAATGAAAAAGAAAAAAAATATTAACAATGGAGATGAAAGGAGAGCACAGAGAAAAAAATAAATAAAAAACAGAAGGAAAAATGCATGGCAAAAAGTCAGAAGTATGTCCAAATACTCAGGCAGTGTAACTCTGGAAAAGTTGGAGTTGAAATAGTGCCACCATAATTAACTTACATATTTTTAAACACTGAAAAATTATCCTTTTAAAATGCACTTAAAGTAAAATTTAAAAGTCTATATAACTGATTAAAATTTTTTTAAATGCAAGTTTTAATCAATGTTCTTTCTATAATGTTATTTTATTATTAATTTAGAACTATTCCTTTTGCTTAATTTTCAGAGGCAATATTTTAAATCAGCAATTGCTTTGAATATATTAGAATGAGTTATTCATTTTTTTAAAACAAGTAACTAGATACTAAACAAAAAAACTAATTGTAAAGTTGAGAAAATATAGATCTATTTAAAGCTGAGATGACAGTTGTTGAGCATTGTGATGTATCATCTTGACATGAACTGAATGAGGTAGATTACTGACTGACACTAGCAATGTCAGAATTTACATTACAGCACACACAAACTCTGTGGAAATATACTATTAGCACCCACAGTAAGCAGTGATGAGTAATGAGATAAAAATTGACAACGTCAATAGTCATAAGCCCTCACAGTCAAGAATAATGAACTACATGTGTGTACATATAGGTGTATATTCATAGATATATGCATAATGAAACATACCCTTCATAATTTCCATCAAAATTAAATTTTGCGTGGCAATAAATGCTCTATGAATACATAGGTGATAAAATTAATTTTGGTCAAGATTAAATGTAGACTATGTTTGCAGCAAAGGACAATGACAAAGATGGTATTATAATAATCCTTTAGAGATAGGGTGATCTGAACCACATGTTTTTCTTCCTTTACATAAAAACATGGCCAAAAATATCTATTCTTATTTTTAACTTTTTCTAATTTATACTGTGCTAATTAAGTTAGCCTTTTGCACACCTGATCTAGAAATGCACTGAGCATTAGATACAAAGTGGTTTTCTTTTTATTATAATCTCATATATTAAAATTTCTTCTTTATAATTTAAAAAGCATGACACATCTTCCTCAGATTTTTTTTTTTTGTAAATTGGAACTTCATGAAAGAAAAATGCATGTGTCATTTTTTAGAACAGTTTAGTTAGGAATTATTAAGCAAGCAAAAATCTGAGTGATTTTAGTGCATGTTTAACAATGCTGTGAAAATTTACTATAAGAGTAAAATTTAACATATTGTTGAGAGTGTATCTGCACACCCACTTTGACTTGCACTTTTTTTTTCAAGAGATGGCCTTATATTATTTCCATTTTATTCTTGTCTTTTTTTTTTTTTTTTTTAGGAAACAATATGAAAAATGTTGGTGATTCCTCTTTGTATTTGCCAAGGCATCCGAGGTAGACAAAGGAGTTTCACTCAGTTCTGTGGATTAGTACCCCTGCAATTGCAAGCTCAGAAACCTGATGCATAGCCAGAAAGAAAGGAGGAGTATGGAGAGAGATGTGGCTCAAGTTCTATTCATATGTCATGTAGGCTGACAATTGTCGGTGGCTGGCCTGTGCACTGGCAGTGAGGGGCACGTCCCAGGGAGATGAACCCTCTAACTACCAATAACCCTCAGTGGATCAAAATGAAAGATGATAAGGAAAGAATAGTAGGATCCTGTCCAGGAAAACCAAAGAGGCATTCAGCTTTTGGCAGCTAAGTTAAGTAGATTACTGACTCCTTAAATTAAAAAGATTGTTGCAAATTCTTTCTATGTCCTCTTTCTGGTGTGGTAGTGGAGTTTCTAGGCTATCAGAGAACACACGTACAATTCATAATGAATTAACTTCAAACCAAACTCCTCTCTCTCTCTCTGTCTCTCTCACACACACACAGACACACACGTGTGGATTTATCTGTTTCATCGTTTGCCCTTAGAATAAGATTAAATTAATAATAATATAAAATAAATAGAAATCTTTCTCCATATTTGAAATTATTTCTTCAGCTTTATTGTTATATTTCAGATATTGCAGCTAAAAATTCAACATAATTCTATTACATATTTTCTATTATATATTCATAACAGAAAAATATCAGATTTTTTTCATGTAAAACAAACTGCAATTTTCTGAATTTACCTAATTGCTGAGATATATATGTATAATGTTCTTTATATATTTCTGCATATCATCTCTCACCTGTCTATATTTGCTTTGTAGATTTCACTTTCAATAAATCCATACTCCGGTTCAGTTCTGTTGCAAGGGACTAAATACATGTGTTTTTGGCAAAACAGCAAATTTGAGTTTGAAAACTACATAAAGTAACCTGCACAAAGTTAAATATGCCAATAGAGGGGGATTAAAAGTAAATTAGTCATTCTTAAATGACTTAAGCAATGAGTCATTCTTAAAACCTGAAAATGGAAAGGAAAGAATACAAATAAATAGATGTATAATATTTCCTAATTGAGAAAAACCTCATTTAGATTATGAAAAGTGAGGCATATTTTCTAATTATTTAGATGTTTTTGAATTGCTCTTTTTATTCCTCGAGAAAATATTCCCAGAATAATTTTTGTTTCATTTTAAATTTTATTGTATAAAATATCTAATGCTGATATCACTCTCCACATTGGATTAATTATCTAGTCTGAATAAACTTTAATTGAGCCATTTAAAATATGTGCAGCTGTTGTGAACAGAAATAGGCAGATAGTTTATCTCATTAGTATTAATTTAAATGTTCCCAGTTTTGCACGTTTTTAGGCAGGATGTATGTTTTATAGTAATTCTTCAGTCATATATTTTAAGAGAATGAACAAACTATTTTGTTTGAAAACCACTTATCAGATGTCAGTATTTGTTTTCTAAATGTATCAAAACTGTTGAGAGTGCACTTGTTCCTATACAACTTTTTAGTGGTCTTAGCTGTATATGACAGTAACCTGAATTTTTAAAAATTCATTTCATTATATAATTACTTATATTGTTAACCTGATATCTTTTAGGCATTTTAATTTAGCTTGCATTATTCAAATATCTTTACTTTAGTGAAAATATGATTGTTTGGTAAATAGATGTCAAATCTAATATTCGCCCTTGCTTTTCTATGTTCTCAAAGTTAAAACAGAAGTAGAGAAAGAAGATAAACTTATTTCAAGTATGTTTTTGTAAAAACTTCTGATGTATACTTTTATTGTGCAAGATGTCATTGTTGTTGTGTTGGTTTGGCTTTTCTCTGATATTAGATTTTTAGGTGTATAATAATTTCTATGTTTTGAAAGGGAAATGTTCCAGCTTCTAACTGTACCTCTCTTTTTATGAATACTCTTAAATATCAAAGGTATATTCTTTCACCCACTGACTCTAGCTGACAAATAATTGATAGTCTTATTGTTTTCATTTGTCAACTGCTTTCATTTTTTTCTAAGGAAAAAAATGTTTAAAAAGATCAGTTGTAGAGATACAAAACACAGCAACAAAACTCCAGCCATACTCGTATTTATTTTTAGATTATATGTTTAAGTAACCAATTGCTCATGAATAGTACTTTGGTTGTATCTTTTCCTTGTTTCATTAAGATGAAGCATTGAATATGAATGCTAGCATACCTGAGCATTAGGAAATGGAAATGATCTTGCTCTTAAAGTACATTTAATTTTAAAACGGAGTTCTGATGTGTAGACATGTATAACTATACATAGATGTGTATCATAAATGAAAGTATAAATATATCTATGTATGTAGATTTGAAGGAAAAAGACATATAGATGTTTTGTCCTGATGACTTCAGCCACAGCAGCATTTTCCTTGTTTTCATACCTGTACTAACTAACAGCACAAGTGTGGCAAACATCATTATTTCTGTTTTCCTCTACTCTTTTTCTCCAGTTCCCAAACAGTGGTAAGATATGTGTGTATGTATTTGTGTGTGTGTTTGTTTCTGCATGATATGTGTATATCCTTAATATGGGTACACTTATATATTCTGTTTAAATTACTTTAAGTGAAAAATAGAATTGCTATGCAAATATTTTCAAAATAATATATATCAGTAAGACTAAAATACATCTGAGAGCATATCTAACATATATTTGCAGTTCTAACAAGTCAAGTATTTAGATTTTTTGAGAAAAAATACATTTGTTTCAAATATGTTAAGTGGACACTCTTCTTTGAGCTGGCAGTATTTTAAGAGTTTTGTTTCTGTGTTTTGTATTTCTGCATCTAATCTTTTTAAACTTTTTTCTTTAGCGTCATGGACAAATAAAAATAATGAGTTACCATTTACATGCCAGGCACTGTGTTAAATACTTTTCATGAATTATTGTATTTAATATTAACCACAAAACCGTGAGTTAGATATTATTATCCCCATCCTACAGGATGGTTAAGAAATCATCCAGGGTCACATAGCTACTAAGCAGGAGATTCAGATTTCAGATAAAGCTTATGTTTTATGCCTTATAATATGCAGCACATGCTAGAAACCACTGATATCTGCCCTCTAGGATTTATATAGGAGTGCTTTTTGTTTTGATGGAGAAAACATGGAAAAATAGAAAATGAGACCATAATTCTATATTTGATGGGGCACAAATATATATTGCTTTATTTTCCTTCTAAGAATAAACCAGCTATTATCCAGGAAATCAGAACTTCCAACTTGTCTCAAAAATTCTAGTCACTTTGTAAGGCATAATTTCTTAGATTTAAATTTCATGGTAATATAAATTTCATCTTCCATATTATATACACACATAGAAATGAATATATGAATAAACATTATCAAGACAGATTTTGAATGACCTCAGAATTGAGGGTTAGATAAAATGTTTTAGAATGAAAATACATAGTATCATCCTGAAATGAATAATTTATTTAGGAATACATTCAGTGGAATCTATCCTTTATTTTAGCACACTAGATCAGATTTTCCTTCCCTTTTTATGACAAGCCATCTCCTAAGTAAGCAGAATTCCTATATATGTCAAAGTGGATACTAAATGGCAAAGTAAGTAAAAAATCTAGTCCAATAAATGTGTAGAAAAGTTCAACTCATTTTATGGATTAAAATTATATAATTAACAAAAGAGACAAATTGCAAGCTATTCGAGGTATTTGAAAAGCAACATAGCACTGAGGAAAAATAGCTGAATTACGTTTAAAAATTTCCAGTATCTACTGTGTGTAAGGCACTATGCTAGTGTAGAATACTACTGAAATTTAACATTAACACACATAAATAAAATATTTTATGAATTATATTTCAATCTAAATCTAGTGCTGCCTTTGAAAGGCATATTTTTAAATTTTCCAAAAGCTTGATAGAATTAGAAATTCATATTTTTCTATGCAATAACATTCTCAAAACTGTTAACTTTTACTTAACTTCAGATAACTCCTTTCCAACTCTTTAAAAGTGTATATCAAATAATTGTATTTAGAATAGCAGAATTAAAATTGTGAAATATTTATCTCAAAGAATTGTGACCAAACATTATATTATATGGCATTCTGGACAGTCTTCTAGCCAGGTATTCACTGTAGACACACTAACATACTACACTGAGAAAAAGAAGGTTTCATCTTATATTAAAAATGGTTTGCTAGGCTGGGTGCTAGGCTCATGCCTGTAATCCCAGCACTTTGGGAGGCTGAGGCAAGCGGATCACCTGAGGTCGGGAGTTTGAGACCAGCCTGACCAACATGGAGACCAACTGAAAATACAAAATTAGCTGGGCATGGTGACCCATGCCTGTAATCCCAGCTACTCAGGAGGCTGAGGCAGGAGAATCATTTGAACTTAAACCTGGGAGGCAGAGGTTGTGGTGAGCCGAGATTGTGCCTTTACACTCCAGCCTGGGCAAAAAGAGTGAAACTCCAACCCCCCCAAAAAATTTAAAAAATCCTGTCTTAATAGCCATGTATTTCAACATTAATAGTGTTGTTACACATTTTAAAAAATTCCGTGGCTTTCTTCAAAATGATTTTTGTGAAAATTTATCCTAGAATGTATTTTTAAAACATTTCCACTAAGCAAATTTATTACCATTATTGTCTCTTACCTGGAAGACCACAGACACATTGGGGGTTGGGAGTGGGGCTACCTTTTAACTGTTTTAACTCAATTGTGGTGCAAACATTAATATTCAAAATTATCAGTCCCACTTCATATCATTCTTGCTTTACCCTCAAAAACAATTGTACTTAGGGTCAAGAAGGACATTTTTTAAATGTTCTAATAACTTTTTCGACTTCTGAAAGTTATACAATCATTACCTACATGCTTTGTTTGCTCATCATTGTTAGAGATGTCAAAAATAATTTGATTTCTTACATAGCAGTGTGAAGGAGAGATTTTTATTATTTTTTTCCATAATATGGTCAAAATATCTTGACGAAAGCAACATTTTCTTAATTTCAACAATCAGAGTAACAAACTGTGATTTTTAAAAAAGCTGTTTTTGTTGGCTTAGACAATAAAAGGTAATCCACAACTATTACCATAAACACTTATGGCTAATTCGTGTTGTTCTGCATCATGTTAGGAGATTATATCTATCAAGAGCCAGATGAGCTTGGCTAATAATAAAAGGAGAGATGGATTCTACTGAAAATAGGAAATAAAATGAATAATCGTACTTTAGATTGTTAGATGGATAAATTTACTTGTAATAGATATAACTTAAATCATATATTTTTCTTGCTTGAAAATATATTCACCGGCTACAACAAGAAACAAAACAGTTAGGTTTTTTCTTATATTGCCAATTTGTTCATAAACATTTTCATTGCATTTATCATATTTAAATATATATCGTTGCCATCAATCTGTCCTTATCTACGTTCACGTAATAATACCTACCATGATTAAGCACCCATTATGTTCGTTTAATCCTCCCTGAAACTCTGCAGGACAGATATTTTCATTCCCATTTTACCAATGCAGATGCCAAACTTCTACAGCAGTGTGTACATTTCTTGGGTCACAGGGGCAAACAGTAGCAGAGAACAGCTTGAGTCCTCATCTGTATGGCTCACTAGATGGTCCATAGTAACAACATCCAGTCCTATATCATCCTGTCTTCTACCTTCACCCAGATCTAATTTAGTCTCATTAACATGAAGGCGAAGACTACAGGAGTTAATATTTGTATGTCTAGGCATTAGCACAGTGCCTGGAACCCTATAGGCAGTCAATAAATGTTAACTCATTATTATCAGCACTGCTAGAATATGAGTTAATGTCTATCTAGTTCCATACTAACACTACCCATGAACCTAATTAAGCTAATTCATGCTAAGATATGAATGACTGTTAAATATTCTTCTTGCCCCCTGCCTTCCTATTACACTATCTGAAAAATTTCCAGAAGGATTTTTTTCAAAATAATAAAACTTGGTAACCCATGATTATCTAATTAATATCAGGTATGATAACAAATGGAAACAAATAATTTAAGGAAATAGTGGCTAAAATTATTTGAGATGAGTGACAATGAAAGTCATAGTTGAAATAGTGCTATAAAACCAAAAAGCCGATCTTTAACTGAACAATTTAAATGAAAACCTATGTGTTTCATTTAAACTAAAACCTATGCAGTAGCTGAAATATATACAGGTGTAATAATTCAGTCTTTTATGGACTCTAATAGAACACAAATCAAGTCACATGCTTAAAACATAAGATACGTGTAGCAAAATCTGTAGCATTCCTGATAACTACAAGGCAGATGTTAGTCTAATCCTGAAAATCAGTAGTAAGAGAAAATTCCACTTAATCTATTGTAAATGTATTTTATGGATTACATTTCATGGCATCATTATTATATAAAGGTGATATGGTTATTTCTTGCCATTAAAATATAACTTTTTAACATTCCACAGATTATAAATTGTATGTATTTGTATCAGAATATTGCCAAATTTAAAATAGAGCATACTTTATTCTGCTTTTGTTGATGACAGAATTTGTCATGTAGCTTTGGACCACCAGATGGAAGTGTCATTCTGAAAGTCATCACTGGAGGATTCAATAATTAATTGTACTGAAAAACTGTGTCTTCAATTTTTTGATAATAAGCATATGTTTTGCTTATTTTAATGAATTCGGCACACTTGTAAATGAAACTGCTTCAATTGGAGGTGAAAGTTGGGTGTGCTCAGATAAATACATAAAAACATTTTCCAGTAAGCATTTTTTTTTGTTACTGGAATTCAGAGTTTAAATTTGTAAGTCAATAACACCATGGCAGCACATTTGCTTTTGAGATTTTTATTGAATTTTGCCTTTCTTCACTGTAAAATTTCATGTAGAAACATACAGGAATGTTAAGAAAGTATTGTAAGGATTTATAACAAGGCAATATCATGAGTATTTTGTGAACATGATATTCTGAATTACAAGTGGAGTCTAAAATGAAATATTATTTTTCCAAATAATTAGTCATAATATATAATTGGAGCAAACAGCTAAGTTTATATTAATATCCTACTGTGTTGTAAATAAGGCAGAACAACTCATAACAGCTCACTGTTTTTTCAGTAATGTCAAACTATATGAGTAATATGCTTATGAGAAAGAAATCAGTAAAGTTTTAACAATAAAATTGCTGAAAAATTCTGTCAAGTAATTGGGCATGATCGATTATCGATATACAGATGGATAGATACATGAATGCATGGATGAATGATGGATGGCTGAATGGATGGAGCAGTCGATTTATAGTTACACAGAAGGAGGAAGGGAAAGAGGGATCATTGAGTATGGTTTTGAAATGTTAACTAAGTTTGACAGTGGATTTATATTACTTAAGTTACAAATATAAAAACATAAGGCAACTTTGAAGGCGCTCGTGTTTTTAAGATATTTAAATTTTAGAGCAGAGATAGTGGTTGTAATTTGCAAACTATAATTTTAAATAGGCATTGCTTTGAAATGTTGCGAAAATCTTATATTTCGTATTGTTTTCAACTGGACCTTTCTTAGGTCCAGTGATTAATACAGATTGTGGTTTTATAATTTTTAAGCCTTTAGTTATGATTTTATGGAGATCTAATAATTACTTCATTTCCTCTGCATAGAAGCCAAATTGTATGTGGAAATGTCTTAGGCCAGTCAAACTCACAAGGTATAGAGGCCATCAAGATCTTTCCATGAGAGAAAAAATAAATGAGGGAGGAAGTGGCCAGAAGAATGGATAAGAGAAGATAGAGGGACAGGGGGATATTTGTGTTTATTTTTATCTCATTTTGTTTTGCCCTAATCTTTGGTAAATAAGCTTAACTTGGTATAGAAGGTTGATACCTTAATACAAGACAAATCATTTCCGAAACATTGGATGAGTGAAAATTAGGCTACGTTTTGTCACAGCCACTTGTCTGCTCTCACAAATAAGGTAACAGGCTGGGGTTTGAGATCAGAATAGAGGCTGTGGATCCAAAGGGCCCACGTGCCCCTGGTTTCCCTTCCTGTTGCCCACTTCTCCTCTTATCTACTTCCGAACATTTCTGTCCAGTTTCCTTCCTCCCTCTCTCCCTCCTTCCCTCCTTCCCTCCCTCCTTGCCTTCCTCCCTCCCTCACTTCCTCCCTTCCTCCCTCCCTCCCTTCCTTCCTTGTGTCAGTTCAACCTCCAGGGCATACTTTGCCACAGAGGACAGTCTTGGACCTCAGTTATTCTATCATAGTTCATGACCCCATTATAATCAGAATACACTGGGAGTGCTGGCTGTATCTTTTGTTTGTGGCTTTATTTGCTTTGTTGCACTAACATCTCTTAGATTATCATCTTAACCCCCAGCCTCCACATGTTATCACCCTTGTCATTTATCTCCGTCCTTCTTCTGTCTTTTAAAGCCCATTTACAAGTCAGTAAATCAATATTTATATATGTACCATTTTTAAAATAGAAACTTCTGAAGATATCATCAAATAATGTTGTCAAACTTCTGAAGATATCATCAAATAATCTTGTCAAACTATACATAGTGGAGGATCGCGAGAAAGGGTCTTACGTTTAACTATTGGTAGGCTGGCCTTTCACTTCTTTGATTCCTACATGTAAAAGAAAATTTGAAAAAGAAATTTGAGTTTTATTCTTATATGTTTTGTATTTCTCCTTAAGCACTTTGTTCTCCTTATTATTAGTAAATAGATTCCCTTGGAAAAACAATAGTCAATACTCCATTGAATTTTAGCATTGAATGGGACAGTAATAATTTCCAAGGTTCTGACAGCTTTTGATATAATGTATTTTTCTTTTTACTGTCACCATGATGATAAAACTGACAGAACTGAACTAAAATGCCATGAGAGATGTTTTCCTTCTAACTGAAAGGAATATTTCTGCCAAAATGTTTACAAGAGAACAAACTCTGATTCATAGAACGAATCATGTAAAGATGAAAGACTTAAATGTCAACTTTGAGAATTTTAAGAAACATTTTTGGAACTTATTGTCATTATCTTTCTCATCTATTTACATTAGGCATCTGTTTCTGGTCATCAGATTTTTAAAATATTTTTGCATATAAGTCATATTCAATGCTGTATAATGCAGTTTGTCTTCCCAAGCCTAAGTAGCTAAATTTTTCCCAAAGAGTAGAAGCCAGCTGCAGGTTTTACATTCTAACAAAGAGTTGAAATAAACCGATGAAGGCCAAAACTCCTTCTCTTGATTTCTAAGGAGTAAATATGGGTACTTTTAATAATTTTAAGTAGGAAAATGGGGATATAAATGAGAGAACGTTATTTAGAGTTGATTGAATAATGGAGACTTTTTGACTGTCTTCAACCATTCACAGAGAGGATGAAACTAGAGCCGACTATGATACCTGAAACAGCTCATTGATGAAAGAAAAAGCACAGAGTATAAAAATGAGGTTGAAGCTCATCAAGCTTCATGGGAAAACTGTAACCTGGTCCTAATCTGTTATGTGAATTTTATATGACTATTTACAGCCCCAATCAATAACAAATGAGCACTCAGCATGGCAACTGCAGCAACGAATGGCACCTATGCTATCTCTGAGCTACCGAAAACAAAATAGATTTTTTCATTTTAAGAATCGATTTATTATTAAGATGTAAAAATACACAATACCCATGTAAAATAGAACTGCTGAAAACAAATACTGTTTTTTTAAAAAAATGTATCTACTTAATTAGATAAGGTGAAAAAAAACAGAACTATGATAGAAAATTTCCTGGTAACTTGTGCCATTTTCAGGAAAAGTGTGTAATATTCTAATGGAGGTCCCATGATTTGTATTACATTTGTCAAGTAGATTATTTGCACATTAATATTTTTGTAAATTAATTGGGTGAAGGAAAGAGGTTGAATAAAGTTTTAGTGTCAGAATCAGGAAGGCAGAAAGTGAATACATTCTCTCTGCTTCCATCTTGCTACAGGGAAAGTGTTCCAATTCCATACTAATCCCATAAATATGAAACCATGCAGGATTTATACACTACTTCGTAAAGAAGGATTTCTTCAGGTAATTTCTCTATTCATTGCCATCCTCTATTAAAATCTACAATTTTACTCTCCAATAATACTGATCCAAAACTGTGCTTTTTCTACAAAGGCACACAATTTGTAACAATAGAATTGAATATAATTTGCTTGTTAGAGAACCTGTTTTGTTTTGTTTCTTTGAATCGAAAAGTGATGTGGCCAATAGAGAATCTTAGCTTGTAGGTTGTATTTGAAATTAGAAAAATGGGACAAGAATGATCTCGGCCTCAAAATGATGCCAGTCTCTCAATGAAATCATCTGACTGAAACCATAGCAAATAGGTGAATTTATATCTGTCACTTAGTGGCTTGTTGAGAAATTAGTGACTCCTAATCTTGGTAATTTTTATTAAGTTCTGTATTTTTATAAAAATAGAGGTTTAGTCATAAAATCAGGCAGAAATGGAGGATTTTAAGTTTGCTGCATGCAATTAAAAAAATACATAATTACTGCTGAAGTCACTTAGCAAAAGAACGCTTACCAGTTCTGCTTTGGGAGCCTGCACTTGATTTCCTACGAAAATTAATCGGCTATCAAACAATCTTCAGCCACTGAGGATGATTATAAAAAGGGAAGAAAATGCCCTTTGTGTAGGTGAAATGTGTCGTGGACTGTCATCGTAATATACCTCAGTGAAATGAAGGTTAATTCTGATGTACAACCTGCATGACAGTCATTATCAGTGAATCATGAAAATAAATTAAGCTACTGAAATAGATACGTTTTTCTCTCATACACAGTGGGTATCCTGTGAGGAATGGACAGATGAACTTTACAGATTATTATTGGAAAATAGTGTGGAATTCAATTAATACACCTAAAGACACCTTTATAGAGGGCAGCCATAATTTAAATGACAGCAGGAAGTAATTTTGCTGGATATAAGTCAAATTTTCAGAATTTCAGGTTCTACATTATTAATTGTTTTTAAAAAATCTTTAAAAAAACTGATTCCTTTTGCTAAAAGAAGTAGGTCCTTTGTTCAAAGTTTTCTTAAATTGAAATAATTTTACATAACTATCTTGGCCTTTTCTTTGTAAAATTAAGTCTCATTCTCATAGAGAATTGGAATAAATCAGTTAATATGTCCCTTAAATATTCTCTGTGTTTTTCAGTATTTAGTGCCTCCAGGTTTCTTACAGATAATGAAACCAGCTCTCTAAATTTGTTCTCAAAAGCAAATAGATGATAATTTTTTTATGTGGAAATTCTGGGAAGAAAATAAATTGAGGCACTAAAGAATAGGGTAAATGGCAACCTTCAACAATAAAGGTTAGATTTAATCCAAGCAGGCATCTGACAAGCTGCTGTACACGTTGAATCCATATCAGTGTGACCCTACCACAGACCTCCTTTATCCATTAATCTACACTTCTTTTAGCAGAGAGTTGAATTAGCTCACTGACAGGGCATTGCCTGCTGATTAGCGTACATCATTCTATAGAGCAGAAATAAAAGAATCACCCTCCTTCATTTAACTCCTCTGTCCTACAAAATGGTGCTAATTTTCCATCTTTCCAAAAGCAACAAGTTCGTATTTAGGTTACACTGAGGCTCTGGCTTCATTATTGACATTTTTCAAACAATTTCATCCAGACCATGTACAGGGGAAAAGAGAGCTTCACATTTGTGAGAGTGTGCCTGTGTGTGTGTGTGTGTGTGTGTGTGTGTGTGTGTATGTGTGTAAATCTGGCTAAGTATAAGTTGGACACTATGTTTAACAGTCCTATTTGAATAAATTGAAGAAAATCAAATATGTTTTTACTAATAAATTGCTGTTGTTTCTCCTCCCCAAAAATTCAAAGCAAAAAATATTTACTGTAGTATAGTGACTGGTAGTGGTTTTAAATCTTTATTATTTAAAAGAAAGGTAGGTAAAAGGTTGTTTTGAAACACATTTCTAAAATATCACTGATAAACATATTTATTTTGTCTGGCTTTCATTGAAAATGTCTGTATCATCAGAACTATGCTGAAGTAATGATCATTGCTATATATTTTTTAATAAAATGAAACACCACTTAGCCACCAAAATACTTAAAAACATGAAGTAAAAGTAAAATTCTTTGATTTAGATCAATCTGGTAACAAAGATACAAAACACATTAGATAAAATAATTTCTATGACATGAAACAAGTATGCATTTTAAATATTATTTTGAGAAACCATGCATTTTGGACAAAGTAAATTCAACTACTGTCTATCATTAAATGCATTTAAATGTTAAACCTAATACGGCTCATACTATATCATGTCACTTTCACTGCTAATCACACAATTTCCTATAATTTTTTATGCACTTGGCTGGCAGAGAAATGACCTCTAAAGTCACTAGTTAAGTAATAAACTTTATGTATCATTCTTTTGTTAATAAAGTACTTCAAGCTGTGACTTCTTAATTGGATTAAATACCCATTTTGTGTTTCTATCAATCAATATTTATTTAGAAACTGAATTTGGAGGTTGGCAGACGTGAGAGGAGGTAAAGAGAATTGCTCAGACATCTCTGAAAGACAGTAAATTTAGACAGGTTAGATGATTGTGGACTATGTTATTCCACCTGATAACATTAAGTCTTCGGTTTGCACACTATTATTTTCACAAACCCTAGTTCATCAAGAAAACAGTATTTCTAAGATGAGAGTATAATTTTAGCGAACACTGCTTTGCCAGTTATACAGTGTCACTGGGAAGTACTGCCTTCTATAGGTAGTATTTTCAGCAATGACGTACAATTGTGGCCCCTTTTCTCTATGCCAAAGCATGCAAAATATTCAAGAATGGCCTATTCAGAAGAAGGAGCAGGTAAATTCTTTTTAAATCTTACCATCTATATTAATGGACCCTTTACAACTCCATATATGCTGCAGTTTGATGTTTTGAACCAAATGAGACGACGGCAAAATCAGAAAGGAAAAATAGCACTGAAGTGCATCTTGCCCCTTAAATCTCGTGCTAGAAACAGGAGCAAAATTAACGCGCTGGAGCCATCTTCTGACTGCACGGAACTGCGGCATCTCACAATGGACGCTGCGTTAATAAGTTAGGTGGCCAGGATCTTGCCACAGACACGTCAGGTTTTTATATCCTGTTTCTTTTCCCTAATGATCTGCCTTAATATGTACTTCACTTTGATTCTCTTCTGTCTGCTTTCCATCTTTTAGAAAAGAAACAATGCAATTATTTGGATTTGGGTTTCATTTGTGACAGTCTTTAAAAGAAAGAGCTGTCTGTGTCTACACAGGTAAAAAGATCCAGTGAGAGGAGGCAATTACCCAGAATTTCAGGCCCCAAATTTTGCAAAGAGAATGAAATCCAAATCTGCTGTTGGGAGGGCAGGGAGTCCATCTAAGGGACCCAGACTGAAAGATTTCTAACTAATTGCTTTATTGAAGAAAAAAGTTATTAAGGAAACAAGTCTTATTTTAGGTTATTCTTTCTACTGTACAGAATGTCAATTTCAGATGTGTTTCAGAGCCATTGAAATGTGTGTGCAGTAAAAAGCACAAAGAAGTACGTGCACTGTGCACCAAAGTTAAAAAGCACAGCTCCTGTTTAGTCTCAAATTCTCAGGGCCACAACTGTGGCTAGCTAACCTTTGGAAAATAAGCAAATTTAGTTTTCGCTAACATTCAGAGTAGAACCATATTGGCATAAATCCACACCTAGAGACTGTTTACTTGAACTCTTCTTCGCCTGATATACCTGTAAAAAGTGAGAGCTGAGAGAAATACACACAAATGTGCCCTTTAGGATCTTGTGACCCCAGGAGTATATTTTCCTTTATGATTTCAAATATTTAATCAATTACTCTGCACACACAGCATCTATAAAATGTTTTTCGGTATATTTCTATGAAATGCAGAAAATGTCAACATTATAACAAACTTGCCATTAGAAATTATTAATGAAAAATATTCCAAAAGAAATCCACATAAAATGTGTCTACCTTCCCAACCTACCTACATGCTTTGAGTTTAAAAACAGGGGAAATCTGGAAATAATATTAAAATATTATAACCTTTGTTACAATCTTCTGCCTATATAACATTATATCAAAAAGGTATTTTATTGTTTAATTTGTATATAACAAAAGTAAATATTAGTATTCTGTAACACAAATATATAGCTAAAAGACAGTTTTAAATGGTCAGGATTCAAATACTAACAAACACTAATGGAATTTCTACAACTTGAAGCTCTAAGATTAGTTTCTTCCTTTCTTTCATCCTCATTTCTTTTCTTTCCTTGATAGTTTTAAAACAGTTTTTAGTGCTGAAGAAAAAAAAAGTAGTTCTTGATAATAAAGATTTTGTAGAGTTTTTTGTTAAAAAAAGAAACGTCTAGAATTTTCAGTATAGTTTTTTAATTTGACTATATGCATGTATGTATACATATATGTAATGGGGAAGAGATTTTTCAAGAATGGCATAAAGGGCTGAATTTGATGTCAGTTTAATTTGTCAGTATATTTTAATGGTTCCCTGTCCATTGTGGTTTGTCTCAGGAGTGCAAAAGAATGCTCAGAAGAAGAAGTTTCCCAGTATTGGTGGCTGCAAAAGCTTTTTTATATCCTTTTCATGAAATTTTAGGTCTTGCTGAATAGGTGTGCTATGAGACAGGAAAGAATATAATACTGTATCATTAGTAAAAAAAAAAAAAAGAGTGAACTGTTACGTTTGAGGAAATAAAAAGACTGAAAGTTAATTAACAAACTGAGTGGAAAAAATAACATCCTCTAAAATTTTATAGAATGTAAATTTATAACCATCTGGCCATAAATTGCTGATGCTGATGAGTAGCAAGTGAAGTTTGTATGCACAGCCTGGCTTCAGCGTCTTTGGGAGGGGTGAACTTGGCGTGACTTTTTGTTTATTTGCCCTGGCCTTGATTTTTTTTTGAAGCATTACATGACCTGCTCTGTGAAAGAAGCCCTTGTGTTACAACGTGAAATCTGTTACAAATATTTACCATTGGGGAATGCAGGAGCGTGGATAAGTGCCAGCCAGACTAACTATAAAATTCACTGCACATTTTGGAACTAGTTACTCAGATCACACTGGGCTAAAATTCCATTTTCTAATGAGATCATGCTGCCACATATTATTGGCCTTTTGTGCCATCAAATTATGAATTCCATACTTTTCCCTAGATAAAATATTTACTTTTAAATATCTGGATGAGGGCCTGCATGCCTTAACAACCACTGTTCATCTGACGACGGCGGCATGCTAACGTTTTAAACTGTGACTCTCCCATTTGAAAAATAAATGGAATAAAGAGTGCTTTTCCTGAGATTTCAGCGGACTTTTACTCTACAACTCAAATCATACTGCATAGCTTAGAAGGGGATGTGTTGCGCTGTGGTTTTTTTTAAGAAAAATTTGGTTTTGCTTTTGAAACAAAAAGTCTTCATTTTCATTTCCATTTCTGTTGCCTTCTCTCGCTTCATTGCAAGGGAGAGCCAACAAGTGTTCTCATTTGTGGCTTTGGCTTGATATTGCTGCCCATACCTGCCATAAAGACTTCTAAGATTAGGTAACATGTTTGCTTTCTTTGAGTGGATATAATACTGCTTTTATACGCACCCATGGATCTATTTTTTTCTTTGTTTTTGCCAATTTGCCCTCCAGTTTGTGTTTATGGAGTGGTGTGGCTTAATTTCTCAATCTTTGATGTCCACTAACTTCTTACTGCTACAGTTGGGCTTTGTGGACATCTTTCCAAGCACATTGATATGCAACCAACCTAATGGTGCTCGGTACAGGAAGCCCTAATCTTGACTAACTGACAAGATTTAAATTGAGGAGACATCTTCTGCTGATTAGCTCCCACACCCACAATTATCCAACTGGGGTGTCAAGCAAGGTTTAACATCTCCACTGATTCTGGTCTCAGGAGAAATCTGGGAGGAAATGCAATCGCTTTTAATAACTGCTGCCTTCTGAACATGCAGACTCCCCAGCTGCACAATTTCCAGCCATTCAAGCTCCCTTCAAAATTAACCTTTCCAGCGAAAATATAATTTCACACAAAATGAACCACCAAGTGATTTTCAGCATAATTTATTCAAATTGCTGAACTCAGAATGGCAGAGCAATCTACAGTCCGAATAGACCCATGAATCAAGAAATAAAAAAGTTTATGTACCCAACTGTCTCCTGGCAAATATGGGACTAATTTTAAACATTCCCAGAATTCTTTGTGGATGCTACACTCCAGCACCTGCTTCTCATTAAAATTCAATTGATCTGAATTTTTTGCAAATAAGATTTGATTGCTTTCCATATCATAAAACAGCATAGGCTATATTGCTCTGAATCACCTATTGTGCAACATATGTGTCCAGTTCATCTGTATTACTTCAGTTTATGGCCGAGACCCACAGTTATCCTTTTTGTAAGTTTATAATAAGATTCTATAGATTTCCTCTTCGATCGTTTCGTGATTGGAATGTTTGGCTGAGCCAAATGCCTTAATTCACTACAGGTCTCTTAGCTTTAAAAAACACAATTCCCTGATTAAAAATGTGGTGTACATCCTGTTACAAATTGCACCACAGTTTCACACATTCTAAGTGTGGTGGCTGAATCCTATATTCCAGAAGTTAATGACTTTTCAAAAATACATTTTTAAGTATTTATCAAAGTTGAAGACGGCAGAGCCGTGGAATAGAGCATATTAATTCTTTTGCTCCAGGCAGGTATTAGGCACTTCTAAAGTCTCATATAGAGTCGTAGTAAGGCAATGTGTTATTCCTTTCCTACTGCTCTGAGAATGTATCTGTCCTTCAGTCTAGTGAGAGCACCCCCTGCTGTCATCAGGAAATCACTTCAGTTCTCTTGCACTTCTCTTCCATGGCTCTTTTATAGGTGAGACAAGCTAATAAGTGGCAATTTGCTAGCTGAGGCTCCTCCACTTTAAGAAACGAGGACTGGTGTCTCTATGCATTTCCTGTCAGGCTGATAACAGTGTTACAACATCATCTGTTTAATCCACTTGGAACCCAAGTTTAAGTTGAAATGCTCAGTAAGGAATTCATTTTCCCAGCTGATTCAATATCCAATTTTCATAGTGGGCTGAAGCAAAAACACAGTGGATTAGCTATCACTATCAATCCACAAAATATGTAATAAAAATAATCTTTTCTAAGCATTGCAATTTGAAGTTGATTAAAGTACACTAAAATGTATACAATGAAAGCTATCCAGTACTACAGTTAGAGTAGCTGGATACTGGTAACATGCCTTTCACTCTGAAAGAAAACAATTTTGAGTTAACTACATCTCTTGTCTTTTTGCTAAGTCAATTATTTTATCATGGGATAAGCAGCTGTGATTTTGTTTTTGTTTGCTTTGCTTGTTTGTTTGTTTGTTTTTAAAATCTGGCTGCTGAAAGGAAAAAATACACTTTCCTTCTTAGATGGTGTGAGTGTGTGGTTTTTATCTTGGCATGTAAATATGGCACTCAGTATGAGTGACAGAGGTCTTTGCCGAGAGGAGGAGCAGATATGGAAAGAAGCACTAAGACGCACCTCAGTCCTAAAATTAAGTTTTGAATAACTCTGGTGAGTAGCTATCTGAACATGAATGAGAAACAGCACACATCACTGAAAAGTGAGTGGTAGGCAGATCAGCTCAATTGGAGCAGTGCTTCCCGGTGCTAATGTACTCTTCATTTGGAAGCAGCTTTCAACTACAGAGTTCTCTGCTTCCATTTCCAACAGTTGTGTTCAGTTGATAATGAAGGGCCTGCCTTGAATTGCGTTAAGCACAGAAACAGGTGTAGGCCCCAAGGATCCATTAATTACCTTAAGCAGCAGGGGCTGCCTAGCACCAAATCCCAGGACTGAGCAATGGGAGGAGCATTTTAATTTACAAGGCAGAACACAGCTTAGCGGGGAGAAGACAGAGCTCTCATCCTCATTGAAGCAAAACAGCAAATACATGTCAGGTTATGGGTGGCCATTACCAGGGAGACAAAACCAAGGCCCATGACTGTGTGAGGCCAGACAATTAGAACAGGCCATGGGGACAGCAGGAGGAAGATAGGCCAGGACATGGAGCCAGGTTCATGACACTGAAACAGACCACTTAATGCTCCACTAAAGTAGAAAGAGAACCGTGGCTTCCTGAGGCTTCTTTGAGTAAATGATGGTCAAAATGAATAAAAGCTTCTATGTTAAGAAAAATAAAAAATAAAAAGCCTGCAATGATTTAGTGAAGGTTTGGAAATGGCTTCAATCCATATATCCATATGCCAAAGTAGCTAGCTCTCCAGAGCCCAACGTATAAGAGTTACATACACTTTTATCTCCAAATAAGAAGAATATTTATTTAATCCCCAATTGTTTTATGGAGAAACTACTATGTGAAAATTACCTTACTAGATACAGAGGGCCAAATAAATTGAGATTAGATAGAATCCTATTCTGGAGAACACATATATCAAGCAGGTGAGCTAAGACATGTATACACTAAGATGGGCAGCTAGGCAGGATTATTATTATTATCAGAAAGAGTTAAGCCTGAAAGATATAAGTCAAAGATTCACTGGAATTTAGGAGAGAGAGAAAGAGAAATGAAATACACACTCTCGGTGGATGACTGCAGAAGCTTTTATTAAGAAAGGGTTGTATTCTAGGTAGGCTTTCCTTAGGTTTAATTGGCAGGGAGGATAGTCTTGGTGAAAAGAATAAGCAATGTGTTTGAAAAAGGTTTGAAGTCTAGTTTGGCCAGTGTGTCATGACTTGTAGGTCAAGTGCATGACCTTGAAAATGATTATCCCCTTAAACTTTGTGCCCCTAGCACTCACTTGCCTCACCTTAGTCCTGGCTCTGCTGGCAAAAGCAGTGGGTTGGTACAAGGAAGGTGAAGTTTCATACCATGAGCCAGGCACTTTCCATACATTATTTCATTTCATCCTCATAATAACTCTATGATATAAAAAAGGAAACTGAGTTTCATAGAGTTTAAACTAAGTGGTCTTTCTTTTTTCCAAGCCCTACCCATTTTTCTTTATTAAAATAAGTGATCCATCAGTTTTAAAACTCATTGTTTTTAATATGAAAATGTATACTAACACCCCAATACATACCTTATATATGTAGCATTGTTGAGTTGCTCTGATTGAAGTAGAAGTGGATACTGGAGCCCACCCACACCAGCTTAAGTCACTTGCCCTATTCCCACCCACATACCCACCCTGTCTCCTCACTTCCCACTCTACCCATTCCTGTAGAAGAAGTACTTGAAGAGGGAATTTTGAAAATTCTGCATCCTTTCAGTCATTTATTCAACAAGCTTTGAATATCTAGCATGTCCTAGGAAATGTGCTATGTGGTGATGATAGAATGTTGACTACAGGTGACATGGCTCCTGCTTCACGATGCTACCAGTGTGACTGCAAACAAAGATCCGGTGAGGTCATAGTGAAAGTGAAGCCAGAAAGGAGCTCTACAGCCAGAGTACTGAAGAATTTGAATACTAGGCTAGTGTAGTTTATTTAATATCATTGGAAGTTTTTGTTATTGTACTTAATATGGGAGTGATTCGTTTGAAATGCCACTTAGGTATATTTTACCTTAGGAATAGAATATATAAGATGGGTTATGGCTCAAGGGGTGAAATTTAAAACTTTTGTAATTAGGAGACTGTGATAACAATATGAATGGGAAATGTCTAGTCTCAAGTCAGGTGGGAATAAAAAGGACGGAAAACAAGGATGAATGTAAACCATAGTTCAGAAAGTGAGAAAGTGATAATACATTATTTTCAGTGATAGTCTAATTGGTAGTGACTGATTGGATGTCGGGTTCAAAGGAAAAGGTGACACCTACATCATAGATAGAATTATGGAAACAGAAAAGCCAGAAAGATAAAAGGGGTTGACTTTTTATTATATTTTATTTGGTTTATATTTAAACCAAATTATTGCCCTTTTACTCTTACAGACACACCCTCTTCAGCTAACATAGGATATGAGCTTCAATTCCAGAAACTCTTAGGCATTCACCAGTGCAATCAAGGCATCAGTTGTCAGAGCAGGCCATTTGTGCAGCCAACATCAAATTATCCAGTACTCGCTATGTTCCAGGCACTCTGCTTTACTTTCATTGCCTTGTCCTCCAGGAGCTCACAGTCCACTGGGGAAGAGAAGCAGTTAGCAAAGCATTCTAATACAATGTGGAAAGTCGATAATAGAGAGAGGAATAAAGCGTCTTGGCTACATTAAGAAGGGAATACTAACCCTGCCTGAGGGAGCCTAGAAGGACTTCACTGAGGAAATAACATATGCATTAATCCTTGAAGAATGAGCAATAAGTAGCCTACCAGGCAGATAATTTCATTTAAAAAAAAAGATTTTATGCATGGAGAGAGAAACACCAAAATTATGAAAATGCAAGAGAGAATAGCATGTCTGGAGACTAATAGTAAGTAGTCTTGTGTTGTTCAAGTATAATATATATGGTGTAGAATCATGGAAATCATGAAGAGAAGCCTAGAAAGTTTACCTGAGGACAGATGATAGAGGGCTTTGTATGCTGGGCTGAAGAGACATTTTTCTTTCATTTTTTTTTCAATATCTCTGTAATAATGAAGGTGTTAAAGATTTTGGGGTAAGGATGTGATGATTAGATTTCTACATTAAAAATTATGTATCTGGCCACCTTATGAAAAACAGATTGAATGAAAAAATAACTGAGAGCAGAGATTGTGCAGTTAAGTCAAGAGAAGATGACATTGTATATTAATCTGAATAAATATCAATAGTCCAGTTTCAATTCATGTAAACCAAGACTCATAGTGAGCTTTCCTTTCAAAGGAAGATAATGTAGAGTAAGGAAATACGAAGTCAGAAAACTGATTCTTGGTAATATAAAGAGCCATTTTGAAAAAAAAATCTGAAAACAATGATATCACAGTGACCAAGGGAAAAGACATCTTTAAGAAGGAGAAAGCAATAAATAACTTTAAAGACCAAGGGAGAGTAAGTCAAATTAGAAGTAAAAAATATTCATTGGATTTCTTAAGAGTGAGCTTTTTTTGATAATTATTTTTCATAATCGTATTTGAGGAGTGGTCAAAAGGATACCAGGTTAGAGAAGGCCAAATAATAAATATACCATAAGTAAAGAGTGTAACCTTCTTTATAACATTTTTCTTCTCCACCAGTCCTACAAACTTCATCACATGGTGATGTGAATAGTGAAAGAGATTATAGGATTCTTCAGACTTCTGATAGTGTCCAGATTACTTCCAGTTGTAAGTAATTTCCAGCAGAATCTACAGCATTTATTCTCAGAACAGGATGTGGTATTACTTATATTTAACTTTAAAGGGGAAAATATTCTATACCAAAATTAAACTTCTGTGACTTATTCCAAGTTAGTTTTGTGTACTTGCTATCTACAACTTTTTCATTTCATCCTATCTGAAATATCTGTGTCTTCCAGTTTTTATTTTAACACAAATCTACTTCTCTCACCATATAAGATAAAGGAGGTTGTGAGGAAGCAAAGAAAACCAAAATAAAACCAGTATACTTGTGTTATAACAGAACTGCAGTTGAGAATAGGGCTGTGTGCAAATATCCTTAATTTGTTGATAGTAATATAGAAAAAAATTCTGACCTTGAAATCGGTTAATTTGCTTCTAGTCCTACTTTTGCCAGTATACCTTGTCTGACCTTTTGGTCTATTACCAAACCTGCTGGGACCTCAGTCCCTTTATTCTTAAAATCAGTGATTTTACTGGTTTATCTTCAAGCTGCCTGTCTATTCAGAATTCCATAGCAGGTTATCAGTTTGTTAAAAAAAAAAATCAATCACAGTTGGTTTTTCATTATTTTTTAACTTTACTGAGGACCTCATAAATCTTGTCAGGTCCCTTTTAAAGAACATAATATATAGCATTTAAAATCTACCATTTCTTAATTTTTCCTTCAAGTTCTCAAATATTTTTCATTTTATATTTTGAAGCCATATTTTTAGCAGTATAAAAATTGTAAATTGTTTTATCTTTCTAGTGAATCGAATTTTTTATCATTCATTATTTATCACCTCTGTTTTTGGCTAGCAATGCCCTTTCTTCTAAAGTCTACTTTATGAAATGATAATATAGGACACTAACGTTTATTTTTTTTAGTATCTATTGGCTAGCGGGGTTTTGTTGTTGTTGTTGTTGTTACTATAGATATAGTTGTAACCTTCATTTCATTCTGATGTCTTTGTCTCTTAGCCTTAGAATTTGGCTATTTTTATATTTACAATAATAATTGACAAATTTGAAATAGTTTCTATCCTTTTAATTGGGCTTTCTATTTGCTCTTTTTTTCTATATATCATTCGTTCCTTTCTCACTTTTTCTGAATTGATACAGAGTGTTTTTGTTGTTCTTTGCTTTCATGTTTGTCTACTAAGCTCCCACATTTTTTCATTCTATTAGTTTGGAAGTTACTCATTCTACCTCTGCTTTTTAAGTGGTTATCATCAAAATATTAGCATGCAGATATAATTTTTCATGTCCTGAGTTAAGGAATATCTATTCTCTCTTCCCAAACAATATGAGGATCTTAGAGTGTGTTATCTCCCAACTTATATTTTTATCCAATACTTTAATTCTGACATTTAATATCAATACATTTTGTCTTATGCCATTACTTTTTGTTTAAATTAAACTTATGCTTGCTATTTTCTCTGATTAACATTTTTCTGTCACTCTTAGTTTTTTTAAATTATTAACATCTTCATGAAACTCATATTCTAAAAGTTTAGAAAGAATTGTTTATAGTAAGATTGCTTAATTATATCCATCTATCTATCTATCTATATTTTTTGCTTTACTCTTATTCCTGAAAGGTGATTTTACAATTCTATGTTTGAAGTTATATTTTCTCAGAATATTAAAGATATTATCCCACAACTTTAGGCTTCCACTCTTGCTACTGCAAAGTCAGGTAGTCTAATGGTTGTTGCTTTGTAATCCATCTTTGTTCTCAGCCACCTTTTCTTCTTTCATTATAGTGAGTCATGGACAGGATGCCTTTTGATTTATTCTTCTTTGGATTGGTTGAGCTTCAAATATGGTAATTTTATAGCTATTAATTACTTTATTGAACGTGGCTTTTTCCTATTCATTTTATTCTCTATAAAACTCAAATTACATATATTAAACTTCTAACTATTTTTATGTCTTTTAGGATGCCTTTTGTAGGTCTCATTTCTTTATTTGTGCTTATGTCTGAAACTTTATTCGGTTCTATCTTCCATTTCATGAATTCTCTCTTTACTTGTGACTAATCTATTTAATTGTTCTAATCAGTTTCTAATTTCATTTTTTTACATTTATATTTCTATGACTCTCTTTGGCAATACTGCGTTGATAGTTGTAGTAATGTCTTGTTCTTTGATCATACGCTCCTATTCCTTGGAATTGTATGTGTGAGAAAATTTAACATGTCTGAGTTTTTTGCTTCGTGCAGATACCTGAAGACACAATCAACTTAAAACCACATTTTATTAAATGAAGAGCTTAAATTTTATGGTGACACAAAGATAATGTGAATTTGAAATCCAAGCCTGTGTATCTTGGGATTATCAGTTCTCAGTATATATATTTACCAGTCTCTTCTGGCATATGTCTGTCTATCAATCTATCTAGCACGCTATCATCTATTGTCTACCTATCTCTATTTCTATCTATCTATCTATGTATCTATCTATCTATCTATCTCTATTTCTATCTAATCATCTATCTATCTCTATTTCTATCTAATATCTCTGTTTCTATCTATCTCTATCTATATAGTTTTATTTTTAATTTTGAGACCAGCCATTGATTGTCTCTTAAAGTTATAGACTTATACAGAGATTTAAAGTCTCACTTCCTACCTTGCAGAGATCCTAGTCTTTGCATTCAGTCCTTCTCCCGCGGATCATTCAAACTAAAGATTTAGGCCACTGCGAATTCATAGCCACAAGTTTTAATACTGATTTACCTCTTTGAATTTATAGTTTCCCATTATTTTTAGACTCTAAGTATTTTCTTTTCTCTCTTGAAAGTTCAGGTTGGTTTTATGGCTCATATCATTTTCTCTTTATCTCTAAAATCTGTATATTTTATTTTTGTTTTTTATTAAGACTTTACAAATATGTTAGTTCCTTCCACCATCTAAATCAGGAACCAGCAAACTATAGCCTACAGGTCAAATACAGCACACTACCTCTTTTTGTAAATACAGTTTTATAGGAACACAACCATGGTCATTTATTTGTATATTTCTATGGCTGCTTTTACACTACCATATCAGAGTTGAGTAGTGGCTACAGAGGCCAAATGATCCACAGAGCAGAAGATATTTACTGTCTGCCTTTTGCAGAAGTGTCATGACCCCTTGATCTAAATTATTAGCAACTTGTTTATCTTAAAACAAATATCTTGGACTTAAAGTAGCAGTGCTATTTAATTTTGGCACTTTATTACTTAATGTATGTGTGTGTTCAGTATAGGTTTTTCATATCACTGCAGCAGATTAGAACTTCTTTTATGGTATGAGCTATATGTCTAAAAGGTTTTAGTATCAGATCCATCATAGAAATACACTCAATAAATGCCTTTGATGATGATGATGGTGGTGGTGGTGAAAGGGATGATGATATCTTGAATTCTCATAATTTTCTAATCCATGACAGATATAAGAACAGATATCATTTGAGAGAGTTAAATGTACCTGTCAAGTCATTTTGGAATGTGGTAAATCACCTTAATTGGATCCGTTTTGCCTCCAGGAATCTTAACTGCTTATGTTCTCTGACATTCTTACTGATAAAACTCATTGCCATAGATTAAAGCTGTGAATGTTACTCACTTTCTAACATTATAGCTTTTATTACAGGGGAATATCTGTACTATTTGTATAATATCCCATGTTCTTCCACAAAGAAAGAAATACACATTTGCATAGAAACAATGCAATATTCTAGTGATAGCTCTTCACTATCTATTTTTAGAGTGCACATAGCACAATTGTTCTGGTCCACACTGAAAAACAGGTAACATTATATATTTTTTTAAAAAACTGAGCTCTTTTTGAAAATGTTTCTGATAGAAGATGGAGATGCAGCCTGCAAAAGTTAAAAAAAAAAAAAGCAGCTGAATGAAAGATATTCTCATAAAGGAAAAAGTGAAGTATGTTAGAAAACTTTAGCCATGATATTGGGAACACGGTACTTGGCAAGAGAAGCCAGAAGTGAATGAATGAATGGTATTTGCTAGATAGAAGAAAGTGCCAAGTTAAATGAATCTAGAATACTTCAAAAATGTCCCTGTTGGAGGGATAGTGTGCTAGATATAAGGGACAGTCGGCATTTGCTAAAACACGTGAGTGACATGTCCCAGAGAATGAAGGAAAGTGCAGGGCATAGTGGCAGCTGGCGTAGAGACTATGGACAGCAGGTTTTTTACAGAGCAATGTTGTTCATGGTTAGTGGTGATCTGTGGAAAATGTAAGTGAACAGTTTTGACAGAGCAGCATGTGAAAGGGAATAAACTAACTAGAATATCTGGCTGCCATGCAACTGACTAAGAGAAAGCTATATGGGTACAAAATCAAGATGTAATATATTTGAAAACCAGGCAGTAAGTCTGAGAAAGGAAAAGAAGAAATATATTCTGAGCCAGAATTGAGAGGCATAGCATTTTCATTCAATACATTTAACTGGCATTTGTATGACAATCATTTATATCAGAAAAAAAAGTACAATGTTTGCATACTTCAAAAACATCATGTTGTACAAAGTAAATACAAACAATTGTATCTGTCAACGTAAAATAATAATAATAAAACAGTAACAACTGAAAATGTATTGTAGAATACTAATGAATAAGTTACAAGAAGTTATAGTGTGCAAAAATTTACCATTTGCTTATTTCACTGTTTAACAACTTTTCTTCCCTTGGTATGGACATTCTTAAGTAAAGAGCATTTGCCGAATGAGCACCATACACAGAACATGTTTAAAGGACTTATGGAGAGAGAGAAATAAAGTGGAGGTGATTCTGATAATGAGAAATAAGATTCTGGTTTAAATAAAATGTATAAACAAATAGCACAGACCACTGAAAATGAATATAGGTGTTGGGGTCTAACATAAATATATCTCTCAATGTTAAGAGAAGTATGTCAGATAATTGCTTTGCAAATGTAAAATGCTACATGAAGATCAATATTGCCAAGAATATTTGTTTTAAATATATTAAATATATGTTTTAAAGTTATAACGTATAAAGAATATATGTTTTAAAGTTATAACATATAAAGAATATACGTTATAAAGCAAAAGAAAGTGAAGTCTCTCTGGGGTTTCCTAATAATAACCCCAGGATTTGGGTTTGATAGGAAAGAAACACGGGCTTTTTTCTAAAGAATCGTTATTTTAGAAATCTCATTTCTGATCTAAACTTACCTATGTTTGTTGACCATCAAAGCTCAGTACAAGGCCTAATTGTTTTTAACTTAGGCACAAGGCCTATCTTTAGGCTGTTCCTAAAATATAACTGAATGTTTGAAATATAATATCTTTGTTAGCTCTGTTTGTGATTTAACATTCTTACAATATATCTTAGTATAGAGGCTATTATTTTCATAAATCCCATAAAACAATGAATAAATATTTGGAAGGAGGGTTTAATAGATGACATCAAATGATTCAACAGAGTATTTATGAAAAGTATGACAAGCTGCACATGGAAAGGGCTCTCAGAAGTGCTGACAATACTACTGAAGCAGATTACCTTAAAAGAAAACACATATGGTTCCATTTTGTGCCTTCTTGCTCAACTAAATATGTTTAGAAGCACAAGCTTGCAACCTGCTGAGTGGATCCTATTTCATCCATATGTGGATTACAGAACTAAAGAGGAGACAGCTAGAATTCTTATTCAGTTATTTTTCTACAACTCAAGATGTAAAGTACGAGCAAATATTGGAATTCCCTATTCTTTATACAGGTTCACAGCCCAAAATTCATTTATTTCTCTTTTGTGGATGACCTATTGACCATCCTTACTTCCCCAATCCCTGTGACCTATGGTCCTCTAAAACTCAGATCTTTTACAATGCGACATCTCTAAATTGGGAAGGAGAGCATCTTTTGTGGAGACAAAGGTAATAGCCAATTATCCCTTCACTCTCTTGCTACAATCTCCCCCATTAGCATACTCTATTCTTTTCCGCTATAAAACAAATCACCAACCCGACTTCTCACTCCAGTTAGTGTCCTATCTCTTTTCTCTTTCACAGTCAAATTTTTTACCTGTATTATCTACTCTTACTTCTCTATTACTTCCCTACCCAAACTCTCCTTATAACACTCCAATCTGCCTTTCCTTCGAAACTGTTTTGAAAAGTAACAGGTTTAGTTATCAATAGCTTTGATGTCATTAATTTTTGTCCTCTCAATTTCTCAATCTCTTAACTTTTCTCAATACTGTTGATTATGTCCTTATTTTTGATACATTTCTCAGCTTCTGTGACATGAGAATTTATGTTATTTGTTTGTCCTACTCATCCCACTGTAGCTACTTCTTCACCTCACCCTACCTTGGATATTAAAGTCTTAGGTATCTTAAAATCTTCTTAAATCTTCTGTTTTCAAAAGCTGGGGTGTATTAAAGCTCTGTCCTAGACTATTATCTACTGACCATGCACTCTTTTCAAAGACATCCTGATCCACCACTCTGGCTTCAATCATCATCTATAGAAAATGTATGTCATCTCTAGCCTAGGCTTCTCCTCTGAGCTACAGATACAGTTTTCTGCCTATTTGATATCCACTCCCTCATGTTTCAAAAGATACTTCAGGCCACATAAGGCTGAAAGTGTCCCATGCAGCATGGTCCACCTCCCCTTCTCAATGTATGACCTCACTCTCCTTTCAATTGTATGAGCCAGGAACATAGGAGTAGACATGTACTCTTCCTGTCCAAAGAATCTGCAAGGTTTGTCAGCTTTATCTCCTTCATATCTCTGGAATCCACCTGTTTCTCTAAAGCTTTGTTAGTAATACCCAGTGCAGATGTTTCACCTCTTCCAGATCAAAAATATCTCTTGAATTCCGCCTTCTTTTCTCAACACTCATCATGTTCTGTCATTAACTTGAACTACTGAAGTGAGCACCTAGCATGACTCATTGCCCCAATTTTTCTGCAATTCAGATAATTATCTACAATGCTATCAGAGTTATTTTTATTTTTTAATTTTAAAAATGTAAATTACCACCTGGTTATATTTGTCTAATCCTTATTATTAATTGAAAATTTTAAATCCTTATCTTAGCTGCTGCCTTCACAGTTTATTTTTAACCTCTGTCCAATATCATTTCACAAAATTCACCAACTTCAACTACAATTACAAACCATAATGAGGATCCTTGTCACCTTTCTCTTGGTTTTTCCATTTCTTTTATGGTTTTTAAGCTTGATGATTTATCTGTCTTGCACACTTCTCTTCATTCTCCCAGACACAAGTCAAACTACAGGAATCTATCAGACTGCATCAGGTAGAGAACTCTTTGTCAGTCTTCTGTGCTTCTGTACCTCTTGAACTATATATTCTAGGACAGAGTCTGGGAAACAGCTTTGAGAAACTTCAACCTTTAAAGCCAGAAGAGAGGTAGGATGAGGTAAAGAAGTAACTACAGTGGTATGAGTAAAAGAAACAAACAGCAGAAATTCTCATGTCACGGAAGCCAAGAAAATGTATCAAAAATAAGGGAGTAGTCAATAGGTTTGAGTAAAATTAAGAGATCAAGAAATTGAGAGGACAAAATATTAACAACACAAAAGCCATTGATGACTAAGTCTGTTATTTTTCAATACAGTTTTGAGGGGAAGGCAGATTGGGGTGTTCGAAAGGGAGTTTGGATAGGGAAGTAATAGAGATAGAGTAGACGACACAGGGAAAATTTTCACTATGAAAGATAAAAGAGATAGGACTGTAACTGGAGTGAGAAGTGGGGTTGGGTGACTTGTTTTATAATGAAAAGAATAGAGTATGCTGACGGGGGAAACTGTAGCAAGAGAGTGAAGGGATAATTGCCTATCATTGCCTTTGTCTCCACAAAAGATGCTCTCCTTCCCAATTTAGAGATGTCCTATGGTTTTAAAAAAATTATACTGAGTTTTAGAGGACAAAAGGTCACAGATGTGAGGGGAGTAGGGATGGTCAACAAGCTTTAGTATGTACCATGCTATAATTTCAAATTCTCTTGTTTTTATGTATTTCTTCCCAATTACACTATAAGCTTCATGATGGCAAGGGTTGTTTTAGTCACTTTTAGGTGCTTATCACCTAGCATCTTTAGGTATCTCATGCATAATAGGTGCTCAACGAAATTTCTAAACTGAAAATCAGAATATTTATAAAATCATAAAACACAAGATATAAGAGCATATTGAATACATATGTTTGATCCCTTGCTAAATAAATATCAAGGTTAGATGGTGGGACAATATAAATTACATGTTATGATCAATACCAGGAAGGAAGAGCAGTTTTAGTTAGTGACCTTTAGACACTGAGTTAGCACAGTAGAAATAATGATTTTAAGTCTAGTTTACAGTTTAAGTTTTCTGTATCTGAAATGCTTAGGAACGGAAATGATTCAGATTTCAGACTTTTTTGGATTATGGAATATTTACATATACATAATGAGATATCTTGGGGATAAGACCCAAGTCTAAATATGAAATTTATTCTATGTTTCATGTACACCTTATACATGTAGCCTTAAGTTAATTGTACATAGTATCTTAAATAATTTTGTGTATGAAACCATTTTTGACTGCATTTTGACTGCAATTCTTCACATGATGTTGAGTGTAGAGTTTTCTGCTTTTCATATCATGTCCATGCTCAAAATACTTTGAATTTTGGAACATTTATTTTGGATTTCAGGTTTTTGGATTATGCTCAACCTGTATTGGGAGTTACTCATCAGGCAAATTTGAAGTCAGAGCCAAGGGAAAAGAAAAACAATAAAGAGGACAGCTAGGATATGTGCATGCTTAAGACACATTCTAGTGGACAATATTTTGGGGTGGCCACTTTTTGAAAGTATGAATCTCTACTCCCTGAGCACTTTACCTCGAACCATGTGTCTTTAGTCAAATGCTTTAATTGTTTCAGATATCTGAAATTACAGATATCTGAAATACTAAGATTTCAGATATAGAATACTAGAATACTAAAGATTACAAGATCTTTAATGTCTATATATATACACACACTCACTATGTGTCTCCAGCACTTCCTCCAAAGCTCCAAGCACTTCCTTCAGGCATTTTGAACCACTTATATTTTGAATCATTTGAACTGGTATTTCTGTTCATGCTCCATGTTCTTTCTCACATCTTTGCCTCCTTTTTGCATTTGCTCTCCCCTCTGCCTGAAATACTATTCTCTCTTCTCTTCTATTCCTAAGGTGTCCATTTAGCTTTCCATTCCCCTAAAAACTTTCCATGACTTCAGAAACTGGGTTAGATGCTGTATTCATTTGTTTTCACACTGCTATAAAGATGCTACCCAAGATTAGGTAATTTATAAATAAAGGAGGTTTAAGTGAATCACAGTTCCGCATGGCTGGAGAGGCCACAGGAAACTTACAATTGTGGTAGAAGAGGAAGCAGGCACCTCTTACACGGCAACAAGTGAGAGAGAGAGAGAGAGCATGAAGAGGGAAGATCCCCTTATAAAACCAGATCTCATGAGAACTCACTCACTATCCAAGAACGGCATGGAGGAAACCACCCCCATAATCACCTCCCACCAGGTCCCTCCCTTGACACATGGGGATTCTAGATCGAGATGAGATTTGGGTGGGGACACAGAGCTAAACCACATTAGATGACCCATTTATGTATGACCAGAGTATTTGATATTTCTTCACATGATAGCATGTATTAAACTACTGTGTGGTTGCTTATTTACTTTTCTGTATCCATCCTAATAGTAAATTGAAGGATAAGTACTCCATGTCTTAATTCTAGTTATCTCATCAATGCCTACACTCTTCCTTCACATAGTAGAAAATCAATAAATGTGTGTTGAATGATTACCTATGCTCATTCATTTGTCCACCCAGTTTTGTTAGAAACCTGTCATTTCTGCCTGCTTCCTCTATCAAGTACAAGGCCATATGATGAGCTGGAAGAGCCCAGAATGTAATCTCCTTCTTTTCTCTACATCTGATTATTGGGGTAATTCTCATGCAAAACCAGACATCTTTGTTGTGGCCTTTTGCCTACTTTAATCAAGTCAAATTTGCTGATCCTACAAATTTCCTTTGACATCACAAGTGCCAGATTTTTGACCCACCAAGGTCATGGATATCACTGGTTTCCTGGTCCTTGATTTTATGGTTGCTGGCTTGTCAGCTTGCTGCTAAGAACTGAGAGTCCACATTATTTGGTTGCCACCTTAACCTGGGGTCTTCTGGACTCTTGATTTACAGCAATCTTAGGAACTGCATATTTAGTTTCATGGTCTCAGACTGAGGTCTCAGTCCAGTTTCCCATTGGTTCTAGTCCCTTGCCTGATTGACTTATGTGCTCCTGCAAAACTGGATCAAAAAACTGGTACTTACGTATAACTTAAAAAATAATGAGGCTATTGAAGTTTGAGAATGACTTAAAATAAACATCAGTGTAAAAAGTGTTAATAAGATGTTTAATTATCTTCCATTACCTCTTAAAATGGAATAAGAATGAATTAATATTTTGTTTTTCTACATTAGAACTTATGGGTGATTTAAAAATAAGATATTTATTGTAAGATTGAGTGTTATAAAGGTAAGTATTACTATTTTGGCAGTATATATTTAATTCATAAGTTAGTATTTGTAGAGGATTGGGGTACCTGAAACATACACAGAAGCATGTGTTCTATGGTGCAGAGGATGCTGAGTGTTTGCTCATGGGACAAGTGGGAATTAAATATCTCATGTTTAGCCTCTGATGTTTTGTATTCAAGTTTGTGAGCCCAAGTTGAATTTCAGTAAAGACCTATAACCTGGCAGAGCCACAGCAACAAGTATCTGGAGCCAACCATAATCATGGTAAACAAGAAGATATCATTCAAGATCAGGACAGGTAACTAAGGCAAGGGCCTCACAACAAGTTTTGCAGGTTAAAAAGAAATGTAAATGCCCACTGAGGAAATTCCGTTGGCAGAGGAATGGGACAGGGTGGAGTTTGTGCATTAATGAGGGGCTCTGTGGGGGGAAGTTTAAGATGACCGAACAGATAATTATATACAAGACTGGAGAGAGACACACACATTTGGTATTTCATGACAATGCCATTAAGAAATAAATTGACATGTTTGTGTAGAACCTTCTGCCTTAGGATTGCAATTGCCTGTAGTAATATTGCAAAACTTGTTTCCTTGTTCCAGTGAAAACAAATATGAAAAAAATGGGGTTTTTGCATGTTTGTTTTCCTGAGAAAATACTACTGCCATCTTTATATTTTTATATACATTATCCTCTCATCTTAGGAGACATGGACCCCTTGAAGGAGTGGCCTGGGATGTCTTCCACTTATGTTTTATTTATATATCTGTTTTGTCATGGAGAACTTTAGGGCCATATAAAAAAAACAAGATGGTACATACTGAAGATGCATGGACAATTAGAAATTGCAAAGTTGTAATATTTGGGAACTTTCAATAACGATATTGCTTTGGAAAAATTACATCATGATACTCTGGAAAACATATTAAACCACATAAAAATGACATAGGTTTAATATGCTGCATTAATCATCACAGTAGAAGAGTTCACCTAAAATCTGTTATTGAAAAGTTGGTGATAAGTAGACATTAACTCCCTAGTGTTCATGTAAGTATGAATTGACCACTCACAAATTGTATTTTAGATGTAATATTTTTCATAACATATATTTTATTTGAAACAAAATATAAGGCACAGGATGTAGGTGTACAGTGTAGGATTTCATAAGAAGGGAACAATTTCAGAAAGCTTTAAACCCTACTTTTCCTTACAATTTCAGATGTGCTTTTAGTGCCTTCATTAAAGACTTTTGTAAACATATAAATTTGTACTTGTAGTATTTTTTTTACTGTCATTTACTTTTCTACTATAATCATATAGTAATGACAGTTTACATTTGATAGTTCTCAAAAGTCCTGAATTAAACTCAGAATGCCATTATAATATTCAATGCTTCCCCAACTCCCAATGTATGCAAGAGAAGAAATAAGCTTAATAAAACATTTTCCTTTAAATATCCACCTCTGTATATTCTACCTCTTTGCTAATTTCCCAAATCTCAACACACAATGCATGCATAGATGAATGAATGAATGAATGAATGAATAAAATTAGGGCCCCTTAAGTGGATCACCTCTTTGTCTTGTGTTCCTTTGGGAAATACTCTGGACTTCTGAGGACCAATCATTCCTCATAACAGATACATGAACAATTTCTCTCTCTCTAGTACACACATGTATACATAGCCTACTGCCGTCTGTTTCTTCCCCCCACAATTCTTTATTACGAGGTGTTTGTTTGTTTTTTGAGATGGTGTGTCTCCCTTGGCACCCAGGCTGGAGTGCAATGGCATGATCTTGACTCACTGCAACCTTCGCCTCCCAGGTTCAAGTGATTCTCCTGCCTCAGCCTCCCAAGTAGCTGGGATTACAGGCATGTGCCACCATGCCTGGCTAATTTTGTATTTTTAGTAGAGACGGGGTTTCACCATGTTGGTCAGGCTGGTCTGCAACTCCTGACCTCAGGTGGCCCACCTGCCTTGGCCTCCTAAAGTGCTGGGATTACAGGAGTGAGCCACCGTGCCCAGCCATTCAGAGGTTTTTATGTATGTTTTTATCATTGTATTTAAGGTCATTTTGATCAGTGGGCCAGATAAATTTTCCTTTTGAATTCTTCAAGATCTCTATTTTCAAATGCATTTAATAAATTAGTAGAGCACTTATAACTACTTTTCATAGATACGTATATAGATAAGTATGTATATAAACACATATTTAAACATTTATACACACATGAGTATAGATATAGCCATGCTTATTTGCATTGCTGTTTATAGGTTTAGAAAAAAATTACAAAAGGGCACAAAGATAGAGACTTCAAAAATAGTAATTATATTTGATATCAGTTAAGCTTATGATGAACAAATACAAACTGAGACAAGATTTTTGCAGCTGTAATCAGCAAATTATTGACAACATAAAGCTTTTTTTCAGAGTTAATATATGTATTTCTAGTCACTGAGAGAATTGAGGCTCTTTCAGGGAAGGAACATATAGAAATTAAAGCATGATCTGTAAACACTATAATCCAGAAACAATTGAATATGTAATAATTGAAGAGTAAATACAGTCTATGTAATGAGCATATAACTTGATGCAATGACAAAACCTTCTGTTCAAATATTAAACTCTTTATAATCTATGATACAAAATAAGTGATTTATCACATTGCTATTTATCCTGGCAGAACAAAAGTTGTACAAGAATTGAGAGAGCTAATGGAAAAATAATAATAATAAAGAAGGGCAAAAATGATACAAATAGTGTGTTGGATGAGATATAGGGTCATAGACATTTGTATAGTCAAGAGAGGAGAAGGTTGAGAGGGATTTGATCACAGTCTATAAATACCTTACAAGTATCTGTATAAATGAAAGACTGTGATTATTCAAAGTATCAGAAGAGAGAAGGACAAGAAGCACTGGTCTGAAACTAAAGAAGAAAATATTTCAGCCTTATATTCTATTAAGAAATACTTTGCCAACACTAAGAGGATTTGGCATTAGAAATAAAAATCAAGGACAATATATAAAGTTTAGAAAAGGGCATAAATGATGTTCCTATGAGCACAGAGAATAAATCAGAGATGATGAAAAAATGAATGGAAAACAAGGAGGCTCACAGAATTAGAATATACACTGGTTCAGGATGTGTGAAACAATGGTAACTGCTGTCCTTTCTGATATGTGTTCTTCTCCAGTAATTCTCTTCCTACACAATTACACCAAAACTCAGAAGCCAGTCAAAATAAACGGAAAATTTTAGACTGTACTATGCCTAACTAGTCTACTGTAGTTTGACACCCAATAATTTCCCATTTTGGCTATGCCAATTGCATTTGATAAAGTGCAATGTAAGTGCAGATGGCTGGAGTTTGTGACAATTGATCTACATACATTTATTTCTTGGCTCATACGGAGAGACCCACACACACAGCATACACTTCATAATTGCTTTAATTATGCAGGTTCAGACTGTGTTAAAAATTATGCTTAATAATAATAATAATAATAATAATAAAACCGATCACTGAAAAAATCTCTTTCTTTCCATAAGCAATACTTCTCCTGAGAAAAAAATACCCAAGAATGAATTATATATTTTATTTTCTGAGAAAATAACTGTAAGAAATAACTGCTAATTCTCTAATTAAATAATGAAACATTTATTGTTGCTTTCAGACGGTAGTATTGTTCAAACTTTAAATTTTGCTTGCTTCCTCTATTCTCTTCTCTTTTGAGTGGACTTTCTATGGCCTTATCAAAAGCTCTGGGTTTTTTTCGTTTAAAAGAGTTACTTTAAGGAATCAAAAGAGGCTTGCTGTTCCCTAGGCATAGGATGTAGTCAAAGGTGAATAAAGGGATTATTGCAACCACGGGAGTGCAATAATAAAAGGAATTTGCTATAGACTCAATTCATTAATTCAGTCTAAAACAAATACAAAAGAGGAAATAAAAGGTTTAAAATTTTCTCATCACCTTCTATGTATCAAGAGTTGTACTAAGATTTAAGAATATGGGGGCTGGGTGTGGTGGCTCATGCCTGTAATCCCAGCACTTTGGGAGGCCGAGGCAGGTGGATCACAAGATCAGGAGATCAAGACCATCCTGGCCAACATGGTGAAACCCCATCTCTACTAAAAATACAAAAATTAGTCAGACATGGCAGCGCATGCCTGTAGTCCCAGCTCCTTTGGAGGCTGAGGCGGGAGAATTGTTTGATCCCAGGAAGCGGAGGCTGCAGTGAGCAGAGATCGCACCAATGCACTCCAGCCTGGGTGACAGAGTGAGACTCTGTCTATATAATTTTGATTCAATCCAGGTAGTTGGCCTAGTTTGTTTTCACTCCCTTAGTTTCCTGTACACATGAAAAAGTGGAGATTTCTCAAATATAATGACTAGTCAGCTAGGAGTATTGATAGGATAAGGAATTGCTAGGATGCTACCACTTATGCTGTTGACAAGATTGACCATGCCTTAGGCTGGGTAGAAAGAATAAGTGAAATCCTCTGTCTTTAGGGGACAGAGAATGTTCAGAAAGAACATGTGAAAAGGAAAAGGCAGATTCAAAAGGAATTCAAAATTGGAGAAGGTGGAAATCACAGAGATAATAGCTAGAAATAAAAATGCAGAAATGTAAAGTTGCAGACTTCTATAATCTGAAATCAGAAAGGAATAGCCATTGGGTTACTAATATGGAATAAAGATGCAGGTGATTGTCGGCAAGAAGTCAAAAGTTCCTAATTCGTGACATAAAGTATTTTAATAAATGATACATTAGAGTTAGATGTTCTTTAAATGCTTTGGAAATTATGTAAAAATATAAGAAATATCTTAATACTTTAGGCATTCAAGTGAAGTGAGTCATTCTATTTCAATTTTAATTTTATATTGAGAGCATTAAAGTTCACCAAATTAAATATAATTCATTCTTTTGTTAGATATTCTTTTGTGCTACATGATTAGATCAACTAGAACAGCAATTGATTATTGAATTTCACTGTCTTAGGCTCAATAGCAAAACGTAACAAATGTTTAAAAATGGATAAAAGGGAGAATCCAAAAAATGATGCAGTGTTTGTAATCTTACTATATTAGCTCTTTGCTTTCTCTTTCTTGCTCCTCTTAAAAAAGGTACAGCTATTGCTCTGATGACTGATAAAATAGCACGATTTCAAATTCTATCCTTTTCTCTCCCTTCCTCCGCCTTCCTCTTGTCTCCTCTCCTCTTCTCTCTTCTCTCCCTGACTCTCTTTCTCTCTCTCTCTCTTACATTTCTCTTAATCATGTAATTTGAAATGTTACTTATTAAGCTTAAATCAATTATGTGCCTCCTACTTAAGACTGGCCTGTAATATTATTTCTTAAATCACATATTTTAGAAGACTTCAGCACCTAACTAATGGAATTTTTGAAAAACCTATCAAAGTGTTTCAGAACATAAGAAATATATCAGTTGGACAGAAACAGTTCTTCATTATGCTTTACACACAATTTTGCTCAACTGCTTATTTTAATTAGAGCAGAACTCTAGCTTCTGCTCATTGGTTTAGCATGAGCAATAAAATGAAGTTTATTTAATTTTCTAAAATAAGTAAAGCAGAGTAAAGTTAATTAAAAGTTAATTACAGAATAATGAATCATCTACTCTTGCTGTGCTAGTGTTGCCCAGATGATTAGATGCTGTTTTCTCTGAATACACTTCCATTCCCACAAGCTGGGCATTCCCTTCTTTCAGTATTTTCACCTGTGTATTTTATTTGAAAAGTTTAGGTTGTCCTTTCCTGAAGATGTCTTTAGGAAATACACACAGACATAGGAGACACACACACACACACACCCCTTCCTAGTTTCTCTCCTTTTATATGCATTCCTCGGGCATAATTTTCATTTAGACTTCTGATTACCTTTTAAATTTGACAGAATATACCTACAAAATTCGTTAGTAATTGTTTCATTTCCCAGTATGGCATGTGTAGTTAACCTTGAAAGACAGATTGGCGTTAACTGTAGTGAACCCAACCTTTCCCAGTATCACAAAGGTCATGGATCTGTTCTCCCTGGTCCTGTGTCTTCAAATAGAGGATATTGTACATATTGGAATTAGAATGTTTTTACTGCTCATTAATTCATCATTAAAATGATGTTAACTAAGCATTCTCTATGAGTCTGGTGCACAGATTTTCTGGCATGAACTGCCTCAGCTTGGCTCCTAGCCACTTATGACTTGCTGAAAACAATGGTATTTATGTTTGTTGTACACTTAAATCTTTTTGTAAAACTTTGTTGTATTAGGCTCTACAAAACTTTCATTTGGAATGTAGTATGGCTTATACCAAGACTGTCTTATTTTTTATAAATGAATAGATATGTGGAAATACTTGAATTTCAATTTAGCAGCAGGCTTCATATAACATAAGGAATAATGCGTAATACATATTATGTTCTTACCTTAATTATGCATCTTGAATTGTAGCATGATATATACTAACAGATTATGACAAATATTGTTACTTAAAAGAAGGGAAAAAATGAATTCCTGCAACTCAGGGTATTTAAATTTTTATCGAACATTCACTTTAGCTTTTTTTAGTCATTGATTTTGTGTCCAGTCTATTTAAGAAGCTACAGACTGTTAGTTTTATAAAATTATATGAGATTCAGGGGCACAAATATCATAAAGTTGAGTTCCTGAACTCTTCCCTAAAAGTTTATTCTACTCTTTTAGCAGTTTCGAAATATAATTTCTATATCCATAATTTTCAACCTTCAATATACAGAGACATTTATTTCCCAGCCCCTTCTTAATCAGATGTTAAATAGCAAAGAAATAGATGTGAAAGATCTGACAAAAAAAAGTTTTAAGATAATCCTTTAAACGAGTACTATGAAAAGTTGGAAGAGAGGGTGCAACGTTGTTTTCAAAATTTCTTACTCACTGTTGTGTTGTGCCTTTATCTTCACTAGTCTAACACATTCCCTGATTATTTTTTCAAGATTTATTTCTACAGCCTTTATATTTTAGTTACATGTGCAGTGTTTTTTTTTCTTTAATTATTATATTCTAGTTTTCTGGGTCTCAAATTCCCGGCTTTAAAATGATGAGAATGATGAGAATAGAGGCTCAAAAAAAAAATAAACATGAAGAAAAACCTTTCAGCTTAGAAATACTGACTCCTATTTCAACTTTTTGTTTGTTTGCTTTGAGGCATAGCTTCGCTCTTGTTGTCCAGGCTGGAGTTCAATGGCATGCTCTCCACTCACTGCAACCTCCACCTCCTGAATTCAAGCGATTCTCCTGCCTCAGCCTCCGAAGTAGCTGGGATGACGTATGCGCCACCATGCCCACCTAATTTTGTATTTTTAGTAGAGCTGGAGTTTTACCATGTTGGCCAGGCTGGTCTCGAACTCCTGACCTCAGGTGATCCACCTGCCTCGGCCTCCCAAAATGCTGGAATTACAGCCATGAGCCACCTCACCTAGCTCAACTATCATTTTTAAATGTTGATTCAAAACTTCACATTCATATCCATCTTGCAAACCCAGATATTGGGTTTGCAATTACAGGCATGAGCCACCTCACCTAGCTCAACTATCATTTTTAAATGTTGATTCAAAACTTCACATTCATATCCATCTTGCAAACCCAGATATTGGCTGTTCTTTTCATTTGCTTATGAAAAACTATGCCAGATTGAGAGAGTGCCATTAGTAAGGGGGCCTGCTCAGTGTTTTTTTCCTTTGGTGTTGTAGTTTTTTTATGGCAATGTTTTTAGATCCATTTGTTTCAGATATCTGACTTTAGTAATAACTTTTTGGTAGAGAGAAATAAAATAATTCAACTCATGCCATAAAATGAATTATGAGTAGTTCACTGTAACTGAGCAGAAATAGTGTGCATAGAATAATAGAAATTTCCTTTTGTAATATTTAGTTAAAATGAATGTTAAAATGTACTGAGTTTTTATAAACAGCTTCATATTGTCTTCATTGCTGCAATAGTGCTAGGTTTTGAAGTATTCCTTCCTCCATAGAGAGAAATTTGTGGATTAAAAACTCTAATCTTAACAATTACAAAACATTCTTATTGTGTTATTGAGCAAATAACACAAGAGAAAAATGTTTATGAATTATAAAGATGATACATAAGAATCTATTGTTTTTATGTTATTACATTATTATAACCAGTTTATACATATAGAGTTCAAATTTTATTATTTGCATGTGATTACTCCAGCTAATGAGTAAGCAAACACCCAGTTGATATGTCAAGATCATCCTGTTAATTTATGTATTTAACACAAAATACGGCTGGCAAGTAGTAACACTGAAAAAAATTCAATTTCTCTGAATTTGGACCATAGGAATCACCCATTTGAACAATAATACAGCACATAAATATGTTTATATAAATTTTTTATACAGTTAATCAGTTATTTTATGTATCATTGAGTATTTACTGATTTCAAGGTTTAATCATTCTCTTAAAAGTGTAAAAATGGAAGCACGATGTGTGGGAACTGTAAGTGACCACAGAGGAGGTAATCATGCTTACATAAATAATGAACCAAAATATGTGTGTGTTAAATATGTTGAGATTATATTAGTATAATTAAAATATACTTGAACAACTAGTTTTTAGTAATTATTAGCCATATAGAGTGGGAAAAGCAAGTAAATAAGTGACTAAATTCTAATCCAATTATTACAGTAGAGTGGAAAGTGTTTCCTTCATTAATATGTAACTTAAAGGAATAATGGGAGACCAATGGACATAATATGTTTGTTAACATATTTCTCTGCTTCACAGCAACTTTCTGCTCGATATACTATAAGAAAACAAAAATTATGCAAAATTAGTCTCAAATGTCTTTAACTGTGCCAGCTAAATTAATCTCTGAAGGAAAATATAAATTCATAAACCATTGCTGATCTGCAAATTTTGCTTAGGGACTCATGCAACACAGTTACATGCTGAACAGATTGGCAATACAGTCCTTCTTCAACATGGTCTTTGAGAAAGAGAAAACTTTTGCTGGATTTTACCCAATATTGGCATTCCTGCTTCTAAAATCCAAATAAGAATCTGTGCTGCCTTTTTCGGATTCAAGGTTTTGTTGAAGATAACAGGGGCATGGCATTAGTGCCTCTCAAAGGGAAACGATATAATTATATCATTATAAGAACCATTGCTGCAGGTTGCTGTACTACCCACTCTCCACTTCATTTAATCTAACTCACCTCCCTCCTGTCTCTGCTTTCCCCACTATCCTTCAAGCATGCCAGCCACACTCCTGCCTCATGGCCTTCATGGCTTTTCCCTTTTGATGGAACACTCACTTCCTGGATATTTGTATGCCCCTTACTTCACCTCCTTCTGATGCTTGCTCAAATGTCAGCCTCTCTGTGAGGCCTTCCCCAGCTGCCCTGCTTTAAAATTGCAATCCCTGTCTAACTCTTCCTGTGGCCCTTCCCTGCTTAAGTTTCTCCCTAGTGTTTATCACTACCTCACATACTATATGATTTACTTAATTATCCCCAACCACTAGAATGTAAGCTCCTTGCCGACAGGGGTTTATATCTCATTTACTGTCACATTTTCCAGACCTTGACTAATGCCTGGTCCCTACTGGCACTCAGTAAATATTTCTTGAATGAATAAAAATGAATCATTAAAGTATCTCATTGAAGGAAAAAGAAGAAATTCTCTCTCCCCAAAGAACAGCATGAATGTACAACTCTTTATATTTATGCCTAAATAATACAGCTTGAAGCAAGCTAAATCAAACTCCTAGGCCATTTCTGAGTCTATCATTGAATAAGTCAGATATGTTTTTTCTCTATTTGCAGACTATATCATTTCCTCGGCTCCAGGTCCATTTTCCTACACATCAAACACTAGACTCGTGCCAACTAGTAATAGGACAAGGAAAAAGAACACAAGCAGGCAATATAATCCTTCCCCTTTATAAAATTAAAACAGTAATCTGTGTTTACCTGGCTGGCCACACCTCATATTCCTCCTTCTATTCCCACACACCTTGAACATCATGAGATATAAAAAGCAGAACAATTTTGAGCTTAATAGTAATTAAAATGATTAAGTACCTCAAGTATATCCTACAATAATCCTTCAAGGTTTCTGTTGACAGATACATGCTTAAGGTAATTAAAGTGATAAACAGCCTTCTGTTGCCAAAAAACAAAACTTAGGGAAATAAATTCTTAAACATTTTATTTTTTATTCAAGTAAGAAATTATTGATTAGCTTTAGTTAATCCCACAAAGAAAATGATCAAATGTTTAAAATAATAGAGTTTACTAGTTCCACAAACAACTGTTCTCACTGGCAAACTAGCAAATGAGATGTGTTGGAGATCTTAGACCTATTCCATGCAACAGATAGACAGGTGTCCACATCACAGGAAAAGTAACTGCTCCTGAAATGTTTTGAAAGGCCCAGCAGATATCAAAAGATAGACTGACTTTGAGATTAAATTAGCCATTGGAATAAAAAATAGAGTGAACCATATTACATGAAAGTATATTACCTTCTTTTTGCAAATAACAGATCAAAAATTACTAGATCAGAAGAAAGTAGACCTATATTTTTAAAAAAGAAGATAAGTGATATATATTTCAATTTCTGAAATGGAATCCATTCAAATTACAAATAAATTTAATTATTTTACCTTGTATTTTGTGTAGCAATCAAAATGCAGAACAACACCAAATATTAAAAGTTGTAGCACATAATCTAAATCTTATCAAACTCTAATTAAGTCTATGCCTTCATAATGCTTTCACTATGCCAAAACAGTGAATTTCAAAATTAATCCTGTGGAAGCAAATGAATCAAACTGGTTGCCATTTTCAAGACAGAAATATCTGTCTTTTGAAAGGCAATATAGCGTCTTGGTTAAGAATATGGTCATTGGAACCCTTTTTCTTAGATTTAAATTCTACTCTGCTAAATAAGGGCTCTGTGACCTTGGGAGAGTTATTTAACCTCTCTGTTTCTCAGTACACTCTCTCAAATGAGGATAAAAATAGTACAAATTCATAGAGCTGTTTAAGGATTAAATGAAATAATGCAAGGAAAGCTTGTTAACATCTCTGGCAAATAGTAACCATTAAATAATTAAATTTTTATTTTATCCAGACAGATTAGCAAGGAGAGAGACAGGGCTCAGTATATCCTGGAAATGTTACAGATTGTATTTCTTAGCTAAAAGGAGAGAAGGGGAACCCTTGTTTGTATAAGAACTTCCCAGAAATAAGTACAGAGGCGTTCTTAGGCCAGGTGTTAAGGGTTAAGGACTCTAAATTATACAGGATCATGGAGGCTGTTTTGCAATGTCTCCTCCAAGCTATATATGTTCTGTAAGGGTAATAGATTTTAGCTTTAAAAGTATTTTTAAAAATATCCCTTGACCATAACTTTAGAGATTTTCAGTGTAATGGCTCACCTTATCCAAAATTTAGCCTGAGTTGATTTCACATTATCTTTTAAAAAGACATACATTAATTCTATATGTTATGAGCAAAATTTCCAGCACACCAATTGATTTGATAGGAAATTTTATTTAAAACATATACATAAAGGTTTAGAAATCAACATTGTCTACATGAAGATTTTCTCTTTAGTTGTATTATGTAAATTTAATTATAGAATGTACATGACAACTTGACACTAGTTAATCCAGTAGATCCATTTTAGTAGCACTCAAATAACTGTTCAACAAACACCTTCAACTGTATACATATGTATTTTCTTACAAATGTAGAAAAGTTAATAATGCCAAAGTGGCTAAATTACTTTTCATTTAAGATATTTTAAGTTTTCAACAAAAAGTTCATTTGGATATCTCATACTTGCCTACAGTTATAAACTTATTTATAAACCTTTAGAGGCACAGATCATAGTGTATATTTATAGATGTTTCTATATATTTAGTACATATATAATGAAGGTCAGGAATAAAACTGCAAATGAGGTTTATGGGAGTGTTGTAAAGGTTCATTATTGTCATTGTGTGGGAAAGTATAATTTTCTTAAGAGAAATGATGACATATACATAATAAAGTCCCTGTGTGTGTCATGACAGCTCAAGAGCATGCCATCGTTACCACCTATGTCACACCACAGGTGTACCTGCTATATGGGTGACAGCCGCTGACTTCTCTGATCAACACATAATTATCTCTGAATAAAAATGCACGTTGAAGTTAGCTGGACATAATGGATTGAAGACCCAGGGCAAAATTACCTTTATCATGGCACATAGCACCACCTGGGGGTAGGAGAGAGCTAGAGAGAGGTATTGGCAATGATGCAACCTTGAGAAACCTGCTGTGGTATGGGCACTTCTGGGGTGTCCCTGTTTATCCTGCTTTTCTTTTTTGGGTAGCAGAGGTCACTCGGTTAATGGTAGGATGCTCCTGGTATAGAAAGGTCTCGCTGATCAGCGCTATTCTCTACTGAGCTAACTGTATATCTCTCTCTCAGCATCTGGATAGTTTCCATTTGCCGAGTCCCCTTCCCCCATAAGATAATAAATATCATATCACAAGGATGGCATTGCTCCTTCATGGAACACTGACTGTTTATTAGAGGCAAAAAAGTTTAAGAGAAATGCTAACAATGTTCATTAATGGCCCGCATCCAGGTTTAATGAGGCATGTCAATATGCGGACTGGGCAACATCAGTGGCATAATAGTGGTGGTAAATGGGAGTAATTGTATCCAATTGTACGGCACAGCTTCCAGGAATGAGCCCGAACTGCCAACTGACAATGACAGAGCAATTATGGGAAGGCAAGCGAGCTGTGTCAAATTAGCACTTGGTGAGAACTCATTTTTCAGAGATGTACTTGCTCTACACCACCACAAGTGATAGCTACTTTATTGTGAGTGATAGGAAGACCAGCACTTAGACTGATGTTCTGATTTGTCAATAGCTGTATTTGAAAGCTTAGTGTCACAAATATATAGAGATATTCAGGGAGAGAGCCACACTGCTCATGATCCGAAGGATAAGAACGTTGCCGAGAAGGTCATCTGTCAGTGTGAGCTGTCAGAGAGAGATCACACTCTATGAAAAGGGAACATTCAGCCGACTTAAGTAATTACCTTTGACTGAGATTTGAAGATGTCTTCTTTTGTTGGCCTACATTGACTGCATAATTTATAATTTACTGCAATCAGCAAAGGGCCAGGAATTGTAACTAAGAAAATTCTTATTTTATTTCCCATAATTACTTTTTTCTCTCTTTTTAAAAGTCCTTTAGCACTTCAGAAGTGTAAAATAAGAAACCGGTGAAATTTTTTTTTTCTCTCTCTTTCTTAAATGACTCAGTCTCAAGTACATCAGAAACAATATATTTACCTTCAGCTGTTGTTTCACAGCACCATAACACTTTACCATCGCCCTATGAAAGGTATAAAGCACCCCTTTATCCTTGATATATTTTTTTTCTTGCTTTATGGGATTACTAATAAGAGTAAAAAAGGATAACAAAATAATTCAATTTTGTTTTTCTAGTGCAGAAGGATAAGAAAGAAAATATCAGAGTTGCAGTACTGAGTACTGAAATTGTAATTCACATCCTTAGATACTCATCAGTTTGACTGAGTTGTCAGAACCATGAAGAGATAAGTATTATAGCAAATATTTCAGAACTATATAGATTAATAGAATTTTCCATTCATGTTGTCTTTTCTCCCTGGGGATATATCATGAAATCAGTGTTTGTAAAGTAATCCTTTGGCTTTCAATATAACCTTAAAAAAATATATATTTTCTGATTCATTAGGTTCTGGAGTGCAATAAGCACTAAATTTTTTTTATATTTCTAGTAAAACTGATTATTTAATTTTGTTAGCTAAAATATAATAGGGAGTCATAGCAACGTAGCTTTTAATTTTTTATTTCCTGAATGAAAAGAAGAAACTTTGAAGAAATAATAAAGTTCTGTTATTTGGTATTATTATCAAATTCTTTCTGCTTTGCCTTTTTTTTTTTCCTAGTGGTGATGGATTGATTAATGAATTGTAACTAGAAATTACCAAGATTAGCCTGCCTTCTGGCGAAAACTGTTGTTTAATTCTAGGTATATTGATTTACTGTAGAGATATTGACAAAGGAATTAATTTAAGTACTTTAAGTCAATATTACTTTAGTGGAAACTCTTACATTCAGGGTATAAAAAATACTTTTAGAATACTCTTCTATGAATATGGTGTAAAATTACTGTCACATAATAAATGTTCATTTCTTCCTACCTTAAATTCTGCACAGGTTCACACTGATTATTTTTCCCCCCTCAGACCCATTAAATACTCATATTTGAAATTAGTAATTGTGGGTTTAGGATATTTGCTAATGTATTTAATGTTTCCTCTAAACTTGAACAATGTTACTAAAAAATATTTTGTTTTCTATAGTTTACAATTAACTACCTATGATTATTTTAAATTATATACTTTGAAGCTTCTGAAACACACTTTTTAATTATTTTTTAAAAAATATTTCAGAATTCTTTGGGCCATTCAATCTCCCTGTTGTAGAAAGCTGTTTAATTCGCAATGCCTTGAGTACAGGCCCGTCATCTATTCTATAGCGACTGTGCCACTTAATAATGGAATAGTGAATCAAAGTGGCACTTAGGTCTCAAATTGTTATGTATGACTGTCAAAGCGGTAAGAAAAAAACAGAATTAAAAAAGGAGGGGGGAGAGAAAAACCCTTGATTTGTCTTTACTACTGAAACGTGAATTTGTCAGCCAGGTTCTGAAATCACAACAGCATTGCTTGCATCCCCAGCGAGATGTTGAAAACTTGACAGGTACATATTTTTTCAACTACAAGCACTTCTATAATGAAAACTAATACACAAATCTTATTTATTTATTTATTTATTTGCTCTTGACAGATAGTTGTTGCCAATGGGATTTAATGTTCAGGTTCAAGTTGTCAAGATAAATAACCAACAAGCAATCCAAAGAGTCACGATACAGATATTCAAAAGCAAAAAGCCTGGCTTTGGCTTCTGTGATATACTGAAGGGATTTGAGCATATAATTAACCAAGTCAGAACCATTGGCACTTAATCTTCCTCCTAATGACAAGTTCAGCCCATTGTAGCTTCTCTCTAGGGGATAAACTATAACTTGTTTAGTGGTCACCAAAGCTTTTGATTGTCATTGTGCTTTTTACTTCATCATTTAAAGATGTGTTTGCTTTGGTTTGGCATTTTCCCATTTCGTTGCTTATTCTTAGGACATAAACCTAGATTCTGTATTGAAACTCTATCACCTTTAATATTTTTAAAATCTCCCTAAATATCTAGGAACTACTTTCCAAGTTTGATTCAGAGCATAGCCTGTGTATGTTATTTCTCTGGATATATTTTGTGTACATTGTAGGTGTCCTGAAAACAACTATTAATACCTACAATGATGTTCAGTTTGTGTTGATTGTGTACCTGTTGGTAGCTTTACAATTACCAAAAATCCTATGGGAATGCCTGGAAGTGTTGTTTTGGGAGGAGGAATAAGACCTGTGTTCATAGTGCTATTTCCTAGAAATTCAAAATTGTAACTGGTTGTCACCAACTGCTCTATATAGATCAATCTTGCAGAACTGCATTCAATCACTTGCCTAAGGCAAACGATATTTTTGACAGGTGAATGGAACTTTGCAAGACTAAGTAATGTTACAAAAATTACATATGATAACTGAAAACTACAACTCCCAGCATGCCCTGCAATTGAACATTAAATACTCATGATTAATATAGGCCTTTTTGAATTAGATTCCTATCCACAGATAATGAATCAGCCTAACTAATAGTCTTAGAAGTGAATCTTTCTATAATTCAGCTTTTCAAATTGTTATACAAATTTCAATATTCTCTTACTCTTTCAGGAAGTAAAAATTAGAATGCTTCTGAAAACACTATCTTCACAAAACTAATGCCACTGAGTGAGTCATTTTAATGTTTGTGCTTTCAAATGTACACCAATATACTCATCTTTGGCTTTTTTTTCTTTCCTTTATTGTCTACATTTAATTTATCAGCATATATTTCTATGCTACTTCCAAAATTTATCCTGGGATCTTTCTATATCCGTTAGCTAGATCACTGCAATAGCTTTCTAACCGGTCTCCCTGAATTCACTATTGCTTCTTCCACAATTTATTCTCCATATTTATTTTATCTTTTTTTAAAATAAATATCAGTATTCCATGGTGTATATGTGCAACATTTTCTTTATCCAGTCTATCATTGATGGGCATTTGGGTTGGTTCCAAGTCTTTGTTATTGTGAATAGTGTTGCAATAAACATATGTGTGCATGTGTCTTTATAGCAGAATGATTTGTAATCCTTTGGGTATATACTCAGTAATGGGACGGCTGGGTCAAATGGTATTTCTGGTTCTAGATCCTTGAGGAATTGCCACATTATCTTCCACAATGGTTGAACTAATTTACACTCCCACCAACAGTGTAAAAGCGTTCCTATTTCTCCACATCCTCCCCAGCGTCTGTTGTTTCCTGACTTTTTAGTGATCGACATTCTAACTGGTGTGAGATGGTATCTCGCTGTGGTTTTGATTTGCATTTCTTTAATGACCAGTAATGATGAGCTTTTTTTCATATGTTTGTTGGTCGCATAAGTGTCTTCTTTTGAGAAGTGTCTGTCCTTTGCAGGGACATGGATGAAGATGGAAACCATCATTCTCAGCAAACACAGGAAGAGAAAACCAAACACCGCATATTCTCATTCATAAGTGGGAGTTGAACAATGAGAACACATGGACATAGGGAGGGGAACATCACACACTGGGGCCTGTCGTGTGGTGGGGGTCTAGGGGAGGGATGGCATTAGGAGAAATACCTAATGTAGATGATGGGTTGATGGGTGCAGCAAACACCATGGCACGTGTATACCTACATAAAAATCCTGCACGTTCTGCACATGTATCCCAGAACTTAAAGTATAATACGAAATAAATAACATAAAATAAAATAAATATCAGGCATAATTATTTCGGTTGCTCCCACCACATGTGAGTTAAAATATAGTTGAAGCTCCTAAATCACCAGGGTCTGGCAGCCCATACAATCTAATTTTCTTTGACTCTGATGTACACTGTACCCATTGAACAAGCAAAGTTTGTTCCCATCTGGGGACACATATACCTGCTATTCCTTCTGCAGATGTTTTCATGGGTGAAATCCTTCTTGATATTCTGATTGAAGCTTAAATGTCACTTATCTATAGAAACCTTCCTTGACCATCCTAAGTAGCCACTTCACAAGCATCCATCATATCACACTCTAGTTGTATTTACTTTGGAATTATTGTCAATGTTTAGTATTATTTATTAATTATTTACTTTTTTGTCTATTTCCTCACAGTAAACTAGATGTTCCATGACTTTCTTGTTCTCAGTAATATCCTCATTGTCTGGAATGGGACCTGGACCATAGTATTCGTTTGCTAATCTTTTTCATAAACACTCACTAAGGGAATTTATCTTTTACATCCCAAATTTTATTCTTCATGGAGTTTCATTTTAAAAATTTATGTGAATCACTTGAAGCAAATTTATTTTTTAGCTGATTTATATTTTGAGGACCTTGGCCTGATTTCTGATTGTTCTTCAAAGGCAGTGACTCCATATCAAGTGCATGATAATGTTTAGATAAATATTTAAATAAATTATGGAAGTAACAATGCTTTTTTTTTTAAGAATTGAGACATATCATTCCTGCTTTATTTGTATATTGGGCATAAGGGAACAATAAAAAGTGTTAACTTTACTCTGGATATTATGGACTGCTGATATTTAAAATGCCATTATAATAAAATCATAGAAAATGTTTCTTGCAAAGGTTTCTCTTTTTACAAAGCATGAATAATTCACTTATAGTTCTAATTCATAGATTCGCATCTGTTCATATTTTACAGAGAGATAATAAATATATTTTTTTCTTTTAACTTTTATTTGAGGTTCAGGAGTACATGTACAGGTTTGTTATATAGGTAAACTCATGTCACAGGGGTTTGATGTACCGATTATTTTGTCACCCAGGTACTAAGCATAGTACCCGGTAGTTATTTTTTTCTGATCCTCTTCCTCCTTTCACTCTCCATCCTCAAGTAAGCCCCAGTGTGTGTGTGTTTTTCCCCTTTATGTGTCTGTGTGTTTGAGTAATTTAGCTCCCACTTATAAGTGAGAATATGTGGTATTTAGTTTTATGTTCCTGCAATAGTTTGCTATGGTAATGGTCTCCAGCTTCATCCATGTTGCTGCAAACACATGATCCCATTCTTTTTTGGATGCATAGTATTCCGTGGTATATATGTATCACATTTTCTTTATCCAGTCTACTGCTGATAGGCATTTAGGTTGATTCCATGTCTTTGCTATCGTGAATAGGGCTGTGATAAACATACTCGTGCATGTGTCTTTGTGGCAGAATGATTTAATTTCCTTCAGATATATACCCAATAATGAAACTGCTGGGTGAAATGGTAATTCTGCTTTTAGTTCTTTGAAGAATCGCCACTGTACTTTCCACAATGGCTGAACTAATTTACACTCTACCAACAGTGTGGAAGTGTTCTCATTTCTCCGCAACCTCACCAGCATCTGTTATTTTTTGACTTTTTAATCATAGCCATTCTGACTGGTGTGAGATGATATATCTCTTAGTGGTTTGTATTTGCATTTCCCTAGTGATTAGTAATGTTAAGCATTTTTTTGTATGTCTGTTGGCCGCATGTATATCTGCTTTTGAAAAGTGTCTGTTCCATATCCTTTGCACAATTTTCAGTGGGGTTATTTGATTTTTTGCTTGTAAATTTGTTTAAGTTCCTTATAGATTCTGGATGTTAGAGCTTTGTCAGAAGCATAGTTTGCAAATATTTTCCACCATTCATAAAGGGACCTTTTCTGATTACTTTTATAAATTAAACACAAAAAGTATTTCTTTGCCATGTAACATTTTGTTTGATAAGTTCAATTTCTGCACAATCTATTTTAAGAAAACATTACATTTCATTTTTCCAAAACAATATTTTCCAATTGCCCACATATTTTTCAGATGTTGTTTTTAGTTAGATAACAAAATAAATAAGCCTTTCTAAAATTGAATTATGAAATAAGAGAAAATGTATATCATAAAAGCTATTGAAAGAATATCTTTGTCAGCTTTTAAAGTTAACATTACATTCCTTATTAAAATGAGTCACATTAAAATTTCAAATGTTACATAGAATTAGATATGGTTAGAAATAGTTAATCTATAATATGTTTTCTTAAGGATGGGAAGAATTTTAAATATGCCCCCAAATAGATATTTTTCAAGTTTTAAATTATTTAACTTCAGCCTGATAAATTGAAGAAACTTACTAGTGACAAATGCTGAAAATTTTATTTAAATTGTGTTAAAAAGAATCTATTCAAATACCCATTTCTACATATTCAGATTTCTACAGACGTAGAAACTTTCACATTTGCAAAAATATATTCAACATAACAGAATTTTTTTTTTTTTTTTTTTTTTTTGAGACAGGGTCTAGCTCTGTCACCCAGACTGGAGTGCAGTGGCGCAATCTCAGCTCACCGCAGCCTCAACCTCCAACCTCCTGGGCTCAAGAGATCCTCTCAAGTCAGCTGCTGGAGTAGCTGGAACTACAGGTATAGTCATGACACTTGGCTAAGTTTTTGTTTGTGTTTGTTTGTTTGTTTTTTGGAAAGACAGGTTTTCACTATGGTGGCCAGACTGGTCTCAAATTCCTGGACTCAAGCGATCTGCCCACATCTGACTCCAAAAGTGCTAGGATTATAGGCACCTAGCCTTAAAGTTCAAATTTCACAAGATTAAAGCATAAAATAACAAATTGTGAAAGTTATAATGTTTTTTAGAAAAATGTCATCAATTTTAAAGATAGGTTAAAGCTTCAAATTTACACAAGACTATAGCTGTCCAACATAAAAATATCCTTTCAGAGATAATAATTTGGGATACTCCTTGCTTCTGATTTAGTTAAACATGTATTCATTGTTTTCTTCTTGCATATTGGCAAGAAGAAAGAAAGGCAATTCCTTTATGGCCATATCTATTATTTTAGCAGTTTGCATCAACTAAGAGCAACTATATGGGTAAATCAGTTGCTATTTTTTAAAACACATGGTCCATCTGTTTACTGCTAAATCAAACTGGAAACTTGTAGAACTTATGATTAAAATTTTGAATTTCTATATTAAGAACTTGTCCTGTGGAGTTAAATAGTCATGTGTTCAAAGCTAGCCTCTCTCTTTTTACTTACCATCTCAGTGATTTGGGGACATGTCACTTAAACCTCTTGAGTCACAGTTAACTCTGGTTTCAAATGGGGATGATAAAAGAACACACCTCAAAGGAATGTGTGAAGAGTAACACAGACAATATATGGGAAGAACTCGGCACTATCAAATAAATATTACTTTCGTGATTTCTACTACTACGCTCATAATTATGTGAACTAATCTTTTCAGGCTTTTTAATACTGGATTATGTTGCAACTTTAGAAATATTTATGAAAATATTGACAAAACTGGTGTTGCCCTTTATAATTTAGAAGAAATTAAAAATACATAAAAATATTCATATAAACTTTGTAGATTTTTTCCTAGATAAGTTTGTTTTAAAATGAGGTTTTTAAGAAGGGAAAAGTGCCAGACTTTATCTTTGCAATATTACTTATGTCATTTAATCTTCACAATAATAACCCAGGTAATATTATTCTCATTTTACAGTTGGGAAACAGTGAACTAGGTTGCAAACCTTTGCTTCATCCAGTACAAAGCGCCACCTCCCTATGACATGGATGGCTAGAGGTCATTATGGGATACAGAAAGCAATTCTTATCAGAAACCTGAAAAAAAATAGTAATTTGATCTTATTAGAACCAAACTCATTAGGTATATGTTGTTAATATTGTTATAGTTTTACACTATACCCCTTTTAAAATTGTGGTAGTAAATTTGGAACCATAAAGTTAGAGATGCAGAATATATAATGAAATATATCTCAACATTAAAATTATAATCATATGTATATAATAATGTTAACTGTTTCCAATTCTTATTTTTAATTCATGGATAGATAAGCCAAACAGAAAGTCTATAGATTAGATTAAATTTACACACAATAAATAAGTACAATTAGTAAGGAATTTATTAGTAGCTCTCAGAGCTATTATCCATAATTAATAGTAAGCCAGTTTTGGTTGGTGCATCCAAAGTCATAGAATAATTTATGAGGCTACTTGTAATACCACCCTGGTCCTCCTATCCAGTTTTGCACTTGAACACTTTCACATACTTGATGCTCACAGTGAAAAGATCAAATCAGACAAAAAGATCAAATCAGACTAAAATTTTTGATAATCCCTGTTCCCTTTAGCTTCTTTTTGTTACATGGCTGCATTTTTATCTGATCCACAGTTCTACCAAACTAATTTCTCATTTAGGGCTCAGCATCAATATTCCTTCCTCTCAGAAAGATTTTACTTCCTTCTGACAACACGTAAGGTGAAAATGTCCACCTAATGTATCGGGAGCACAGCGCCACTCGTACATGTGCCTCTACTATGGCTTCTGCCATACGAAAAAATTGCTTTTTTTTTTTTTTTTTTTTGAGATGGAGTCTCGCTCTGTCGCCCAGGCTGGAGTGCAGTGGCACGATCTCAGCTCACTGCAAGCTCTGCCTCCGGGGTTCACGCCATTCTCCTGCCTCAACCTCCCGAGTAGCTGGGACTACAGGCGCCCGCCACCAGGCTTAATTTTTTTGTATGTTTTAGTAGAGTCGGGGTTTCACTGTATTAGCCAGGATGATCTTGATCTCCTGACCTCATGATCCGCCCGCCTCGGCCTCCCAGAGTGCTGGGATTACAGGCGTGAGACACCGCTCCCGGCCTTTTTTTTTTAGATGGAGTCTTGCTGTGTCCAGGCTGGAGTGCAGTGGCGCGATCTTGGCTCACTGAAATCTCCGCCTCCCGGGTTCAAGCAATTATCTGCCTCAGCCTCCCGAGTAGCTGGGATTACAGGTGCCCGCCACCAGGCACGGCTAATTTTTGTATTTTTAGTAAAGATGGGGTTTCACCATGTTGGCCAGGCTTGTCTCAAACTCCTGACCTTGTGAGACAACCCCCTCGGCCTCCTAAAGTGCTGGAATTACAGGCATGAGCCACTGCGCCTGGCCAAATTTTTGTATTTGAATGTCTCTCTCCTCAAAAGAATATGGTAGCCTTGAGGATTGCCACTGAATTTTTTTCATGGCCTTGTCTTCTGAGACTGGTAAAGTATTGGGCATTGTAGACCCTTAATAAAATTGGTTGAAGGAATTAATGAACTATTCCCTTGAGGCAAGAGCCATTATGTTACACTTAATTGAATTATAACATCCAAATTCAAGATCCGGTTATCTTACCTTAAGAAGGAGCCTTTTATTTTTAATTCAATCATGTAAATAATGGGGAAACACCACTTGAATTACATAACTCATGGAGTTGTTGGGAAATTAAATAAGACATTGATAGAAAATAGAGCACCTACCACATAGTAAGCCTTCAATAAATGTTTGCTTCATGTTGTTTCCTTTTTCATTTTTAACTGAAATCCACTTAAAATCATATTTTCAGTTGGGCGCTGTGGCTCACGCCTGTAATCCCAGCACTTTGTGAAGCCGAGGCAGGAGGATCACTTGAGGTCAGGAGTTCAAGACCAGCCTGGCCAACACAATGAAACCGTGTCTCTACTAAAAATACAAAAATTAGTTGGGTGTGGTCACGGGCACCTGTAATCCCAGCTACTCGGGAGGCTGAGGCAGGAGAATCACTTGAACCCGGGAGGCAGAGGTTGCAGTGAGCCCAGATTGTGCCACTGCACTCCAGCCTGGGCCATAGAGTAAGACCCAGTCTAAAATAACTAAGTAACTAACTAACTAACTAAGTCAATAAATAAATAAAATGAGATTATACTTTCAATTAAATTATTAAAGAAAAATGGAAGCTTTCATGGGATGATCACTGAGTGAAAGGAGAGGAGAGAAAGATATAGTAGTTAGTCTAAAAATGACATATCTGTTATTATTTTCTTATCTCATACATTTTAAACTATATAAGTCTTTGTTGTCCACATGTTTACAATAATAGTGGGATTCAAATAATTCTGACTTCACAGAAAGGTCTTAATATTTATGAATAAATGCAAGGTAAGGACATTTCACTTGGCCATCTGAAATCTGAATAGTTCAAGGTTATAGGATTCTGTGAGTTAATGGGATGAGATTTGTGGTTTAGCAGGCAGCTTTCTAACATACTGTCATAAATGAACTGAATGAAATACTACTAGCTTTCTTCTTCTAAGAAGGAGTCTTTCAGCCTGTAGTTATAATTTCAAAAAAGTTACAGACTTGTAAATACCCTACACATTAATGTGTACAGGTGTATAATGAAAACCATGTAAGCTAATCACTCCCTTGAAGAAAATTCATGTTTAAATATTTTCCAATTGTTTAAAGAAAATGACCATACATTTCTTTTAGGCAAATGAAAAAGATAAGAAAATTGTTTTCATAAAACAAGTGATACATGCACCATTTAGAGAAACACATTAATATCAAAGTTTTACTTTCAAAATCAACCACTACAAAAATTATATTTGATTACCCCATCCCTTCTCTGGAAAGCCTGTTTTTAAAAATCTCTATACACTTGACAAATATTTCAGGACTTATAGTGCTATAAAATCTTAATTTATATGTGTTAACAAACGATTGTATAAAATACAAACCAAGACAGAAAAAGAGTATATAATGGCATTACTTTTCTTATTTCTCCATGCAGGATTTGCAATCACATAATTATCCAAACTTCTTAGGCATTTTTTTCTTAAAATTGGAATGGACATACAGAATATGGAAAATAGTTATTCAGGAGTTAGTGAGTTATTTGCTCCTGTCAGATAAGTTATACTGTCACCCTATGGCTAAAGTTTTCCCCACATCTTCCAACTTTACCATTTCCATCTAGAAGGAGTATTGAATTAGCGAAGCAGTTCTTACAGATTTTTAATTCTGCCAAGCCTGATGCTGTGCATGCAGGATTCAGCAAAATCGCCTCTCTGGTATCAAACAAGTAAACAAAATTAAGACGCAACACTGTATGACTTGACTTGATTTTATTTATCCTTGACCTGAAAGACAAAACTTGTCTGGTAACTGTGTGAAACAAGCCAAACCCAGTGTGTTCATCATTTGAAGCCTAAAATCAGTGCTAAAAAAGTCAGCAATATTTTTAAAAATGATAGCAGTTCATTCATGACACTTTGAGATTCAACTCTGAAACGACAATGTCTGAAGTGACAGTTTTACATCAGAGAAAGATTAAAACCAAAAGTAGGTGAACATTTATTATTTTTAAGTTAGTTAAATTTTCCAATGTGTTTAAGACTTGGCCTCTATCATGAATTTTTCCAAAAGCAAAAAGAGAAAATATGACAAAAAAAAGAAAATAAAGCTAGCCTTCATAAAGTAGAGCATGGACTTTTCAAACAGCAATTCTCTCACTTCCCTATGAACATCAATGGCATTGCAAACCAGACATATAACAAAAAAAGAGAAATACAGTATACCCTGAAAGTAGAAAACAAGGTCAGAGGTGAAGCTTTAGCTAAAAGACTTTCTTTAGGTGACAGAGGCGGCAAATCAAGCTTATGCTTTCTTTCTGTTCAAATCCCCATTAAAAAGCCTAATACCTCAGCTTTCTATTTTCAATTTTCCTTCCATGGTGTGCTATGTTAACACTTTCCTGAATTGTTATTTGCAAACAAATTATTCATAAACCAGCATTGCAAAAGGCTATTAATGAAGAAAACGGGGGAAAGAAAGACGAAGAGAGTGCAAAACGCCAAAAGAGAGAAAGAGAGGAAAAGAAGAGAGGAAGGGAGAAAGTGAAGAAAAGGAAGCAAGGGGGATAGACAGGGTGAGAGATAGAGAAAAGAGACGGAGACAGAGGAGGAAGACAAGGAAAAAGAACAGAAAGAAAGGGAAGAAAAATTGGAGGGAGGAAGAAGCATGTTTTTATGCCAATCCAGAAAACATGTTTTCAGTAAGCAAGCCTCACTATTAATGGGGAAATCTGAAAAGTTTTACTACGTAAGACCACTCTAAATAATTTTATTGAGTGAGACCAAATTTTTGTCTTTTTACCTTTCATCTACTTTATGATTTACAAGTTTATTATTATTTTGTCCTTTTCGTTAGATAATTCTTATAAAAGTGTATCTACCTCATTTTTTATTTTGTCTAGTTATCCTTCTGAAGTATTTGATTCCTGGTGATTTATTTTTACTTCCCATAATATATGTGGATTTTTTTTTTTCCTCTTTGCCTTAACCCTTTCTCTTCCTAAGTTAAAACATCATCTCTTATAGGGATACATATAGTAATGTTATTGTTTTAAGTCTGGTCTTCAAAAAATAGAGCAAAAGCAAAGTACAGTCATTTGAATAATAATCTATTTCATTGCCCTGAATTGACCTTATTCAAAGCACACCTTTAAAGGTAGATTGTTACTTCACAGAAATAAATAATAATTTTAAAACACAATTACTCAAGAATAACAGAGAGAAGATAAAGCTTCTGACTTTGAACTGATAGCCTATTAAATCATAAATTATATCAATCATTTGTGATATTATTATTCACCTCTGAAACTGCATCTGATTTTCACTTATTTTATTATATCCTAAAACTTCCTTAGTCAATAACAAAAGTGTCTATTGTGTAGTAGAAATCTTTGCGGGGAGCATTTTCTATGTGGGTGTATCTAAGTAATAGGGATTATGAAAAATCCCTTAAATTCATTGTAGGGGGAGGGGAGTAAATGATTCTATTTGTAAAGAAAAGGGGCACAGAACACTGTACAACAATTCTCCCTGAAACATCTGAAAATTGATCTCAGTTTGAGCTGAAGTCCTTACCAGCCTCACCTCAAGAAAGTGCCCAAATGACTTTTTAAAAGGGTATAGCTCAAACCGGGGTAGAATGAGGGAAAGGGCAGGTTTGAAACTTACAGTGTTCCTATAATCAATACCCTGCTCCTGAACAAAGTGTAAAGAGGCGCACAAATGTACAAAACCGCATCTCAAAAATGACATCGTAATTGCTGGCACTGCCCAGCCTACCCTGGCCTCAGCATTGCCAGGTTTTAAATTTATTTCAAACTGTTCTTCCCAAGTCTGCCTAATTTTTTTTTTTTTTTTTTTTTTGTCCAAATAGCAGCAACTCGCAGTTAGTGAACAAAGCTTTAGGATTTTTTTTTTTTTTTTACTTACAGCTAAATTTAACTTTACCCATCCAATAAAAAAGAAATAAGGGAGCCTTTATTATCTCCCTGGATTTCTGGGTATGATACCACATCATAGAGAAGTGGTTATTAGAGACAATGGCCTACCAAGGTGAAGTTTGTAATAAAGCCTATTATGTGGTTTCACCATTGACACTAATGGAATGTAACAGTGATTTAGAATGATTTAATGGTTCCCAGGTTGTGCTCTAATAGTGCTCTTTATATTATGATGTATATCACAAAACCTAATGTGGCTGTTGTGATATATTGACAGTATTCATGCTGTTTCATTTTTTTAGGGGAATTTAAAAAACTGTCAAAGAGGAAAATTAATAGGCTGCAACTGCTTTATTTTCAAGGGTTCTGTTTTTTAAATGTATGTGCATAAATTTCCATTTGGTGCCACTCTTAGGCTGATAAATTCATTTGCATTTTTATTCTGAGATAATAAGGATGTATGCACATATGTATGTTTGTGTATATGTATTTATGCGTTGTAAGGCAGTACATATATATTTCTGTCTGAAATCCAGCTTGGAGAAGACTGCACTGTCATTCTCTAATATGTTTACAAAATGGTTCTATTAGATTAAAGTGCAAATGAAGGAATGTTATAAAAGAAATCATTGTTTTATTATCTAAGATAAAATTATTTAGTTTGAAATGTGAAGATGGCTAGGGTTTTAGTACTAGCTCACTTAAAAAAAATACCCTTGAGCAGCTCTCATGTGAGCTCTTCAATTTCTGAATAAAAAAAGAATAAAACCAGCAGAAAGACAAGAATTGAAGCAACAACTATGCTCTTGTAGCTTATAAGCATCACAGCAATGCCTGATCTTAAAGTAATGAGGCATATTTTTAATCCAAATAGAAGATGAACAATACTGAAACTTTAAGCCTATTGTTTGTGTAATTTGCAGAGCTAGAGTTGTAGATAAACAGGAAAGAGGGCGGTTTTTCAATAGCCTCCATATTCCACCTCTTAGATGTTTTGACCACTACTTCCTGCTGTCTGTTTAGTTTGTCTTTTTTCTTCAGAATGCCCTACTTCTCCCATTTCCAGGTAGCATTCATTTCTTAAGAAATCTAAAAGGCTGTCCATAAATCCTACTTAATAGGTGAAGTCATCTTCTTCCTGTCCAGCCTACATGAATTTCCATGCCTGTGATCTCTTTTTATAGTCGGTTAATACTCAGTCCAGTCGTTTGCTGTTTCCTAAGCATATTTTAAGTAAAAACACACTAAGCACTCAGTGCATATTTTCCAGTTGTTTAATTGATTGATGTGATTGCATACAACTTTCCCCAACTCTACTGCTGTCCAACTGGACCATGCCTTCCTGTGGACAAGAGGATATCATATTATATTGGGTGAGTATTAGGTCTTCAGACATGGAATTGCTACAACAAAAAAAAATAACGACTTGGTCATGACAAGAGCTTTTTTTTTCCTTAGGGGAAATATACTCCCAAATTCTATAGTTAATTTATTAAAAACTAGTGCAACACAGAAAAAGCATTATATTTAATTCTTACTTGAAGTATTTAATTTTCATTATGTTACTGTTGGAATCGTATTATAAATGTGATTATGAATATACTTGAATACATATCTAATTTTGACTATGAATCCCTCCCTCCGAGTCTATAAAGATCACTGGCTATGCATACATTATATGCACATGGGTATATGTGTGCTTGTGAATGAAGGTTAACTCCTGGCTGAAAAAAAAAAAGTAAATAGAAAAACAAGGTGAAAAGAAAACTGGAATGAACAAAATAATCCTATTGTTGAATGGAGATACTCAGTATTACAAAGATGTCCATTTTTCCCAAGATTAATATATAATATAAATCTAATATACATGGATTTTGGTGAGAAGTCAACAAAATGATACTAAAGTTTATCCAAAGTTCATTCAGAAAAGTTAATATAAACAAGCAAAACCTAGGAATATCCTGAAAGAAAAAAAAACACTAGCACATAAATATATATATATATGTAACAGCCTATAATTAGCATTGGAATAGACATACAATTTTAACCTAGTGGAAAGTTCAGAAATAAAGTATATATGGGAATTTACTGAATAACAGAAATGATAATTCAAATCAGTATATAATAGATGTATTAATGGAGTAATGGTGGAATTGTAAATATCACATCTTTTTTTACTCCAAAATAAATTCACAGTAGATCAAATTTTACTTGTAAATATCAAAACCATAAAAGATCTAGAACAGAATATCAGCTATTAAAAAATATAATTTGTGGTGATTTGGGTAGAGTAGTCCATCATAAATATACAAAAATCCTAAAACCTTAAATAAATAAAATTGATAAATTTGACTACATGAAAATGAAAAACTTTTTTTCTGGCTGGAAGAAGTGTAAACCAAATCAAAGGGCAAACTAGAGGAAATATTTGCCACAGAAAAATGTCAATAATATGTAAAAATATTTTAGAAATCAATAAAACAAGTGTCAACACAACAGAAAAAAAGATCAAAGAACATAAGTATATGTTACAAAAAGTGATAATAATGATAAAAGTCAACATTAATATATCCTCAAAAATCAATTATAATGAAAGAAATGAATCTTAGTAATAATGTGATTTCTTTTTCACTTAATGTTTCATAGTTCCCAGTGCTTTCAGGAGTGTGAGAAAGCATGTATTCAATACTGTTGATGGTATCAGTATGATTTTTATTAGTGTAATTGGTAAAATCTACCAAAATTACCGAATAAAAATGAAAATGTGCTTGTCTCCATAAGTAATCAGGGCAATGAAAATTAAAACAAAGAGACACCATCATATACACCAATGAATGGCTAAAATTAATAAGATGTTTAACAATACCAACTGCTGATAAGACATAAAACAGCAGGAATTCTCACATGCTGTGTGTGGGAGAATAAATTGGTACAACCAGTTTTAAAAACTGGCATCATTTTCTCAATTTAAACATATGCATAATTTATGACCCAGCAATTCAACTCCTGGCTATGTACACAACAGAAAAACATACACAAGTGCACTGTGTTCAGAGCAGCATTATTTATAATATCCCTAGACTAGAAACTACTCAAATGTTCATCTGCAGTAGAATGGATAAATTAATCATGTGGTATCCATAAAACGAATACTGTACAATAAAAATGACTGAACTACTCATATATACAACAAGGAAGAATGAAAGAAGCCAGATACAAAAGTGATTCTATGTATATAAAGACCAAACAAAACAAGATTAAGAGTCAGACTAGTGGTTACCTTTGGGAGACAGAAAGAAAAAAGGCAGGAATAGTAATTGGCAATGGTCCAAAGGGTGCTTTTGGATTGCTGCCAGTTTTGTATTGTTTGAGCTGGCTGGTAGTTACTCCGATTCTTGCTGGTGGTAATTTGTTGAGCTGTATATTTATGTTTTGTATAGTTGATCTAAATGTGTACTATACAATAAAAAAAGTTTAAAAAACAAACATGTAAAGGGCGGGTAAGAAAAGAAAAAAAATAAAGAGACACTCTTCACAATTTTTAATACTAAAAATGACCCCCAAAACCTCTGAATCCTGTAAGGGTCATAATGGCTCTTAATAGGAAGAGTAGCTTCTAAACGAATAGTTTGAGAATAGAAATGTAAATACAGATAGCAGGCTGATTATTCATTGATTTTAGTTGGTTGGTTCAATTTTATCATTAAATATGAATTTATAAAATTCCCACAACATATTTACTTTTTCATAAGCATAAATTTCTGCCTCCTTTCTAATCATAATATAATTAAAATTATGGAAGAAATCCTCATAAATATAAATAGACAAAGCATTTTGATGGCTAAAAAGCTTAATGTCTTTTCACAACTTTGTACCTTCCTGAGATTACCTTCACTCTCTTGGAAGTGTTTTGAGTGTTAATCCTTCAAGAAAATACCAGGCCTGCGGGGAATAAAGATGTCCTATATGCCCATTTAACTAATTCAATGTTTATTAAGCTCCTACTATTTTCTGACAAAAATTAGAAATAAGACAGCTCCTGACCGCTTGACCTTAAAGGTCAATTTAATAAGATATGAGCCCACATAAAGATTGCCTTGCTTACCCCACATCATGTGGTTGACCCTTACAGTCTTACTTTCTCTTAAAATAAAATTTTTAAAAAATAGGATTTCAGTTTGGAAGACCTTTCCTCATACGGAGAAATTCTGGCATTACTGATCCTGTTCTGGATCTCTTGCTGAGATAGCATGGACCTCTGAGCTAGAAAGAATTTGTGTCAAATACAGTATTGGCTTTTTAACAAGGTAACTTTTCTTAGCCTCAGTAAGGACACCTTAACAAATGAAAATAATTATCTCACAAGGTACCTGTGTCTATTATTGGGGTTACATAGACCAACATTGGAGTTATATAGACTGACTGACTAGCTGTAGGTGCTTAATAAATTTTAGTTACCATCTCCCCTTTCAACTGTATGTTATAGTTATTTGTTTAGTGTCTCCCCTACCATATTGATCTATAAGTTTTTTTTTGAAATTAGGGATCACATTCTTTTCTTTTCTTTTTTTATTTCCTTTGTTTGTTTAGTTTAGTTTTGTTTTGAGACGGAGTCTTGCACTTTCCCCTGGACTGGATGGCACAATCTCAGCTCATTACAACATCCACTTCCTGGGTTCAAGCAATTCTCCTGTCTCAGTCTCCCAAGTAGCTGGGATTACAGGTACCCACTACCACACCTGGCTAATTTTTTGTATTTTTAGTAGAGACAAGGTTTCACTATGTTGGCCAGGCTGGTCTCAAACTCCTGAGCTTGTGATCCACCCACCTCCGCCTCCCAAAGTGCTGGGATTACAGTGTGAGCCACCGTGCCCAGCCCTCTTATTCTTTTTTATACCCCTTACAGAGCTTGGCATAATGCCACATGCAGAACTGAAATTATATATTTGCTGAAGGAATGAATTTTTTCAACTACTTATTGACTATAAGAAATGAAGAAAAGACATGTGCCCTTCATTCTGTTGAAGCTAAAGGAGAAAATGCTCAGTTAACTCAAACAGAAATATGTTCTATGCATTCAATCTAAAGAAGACTAAATACTAATCAACTGTCGTTAAGAATATGACATTACTATAAAAAGAGTGAAAAGTGACTCTGAGTTTTGCAAGGACAAGACAGGAAGAAATGAAATTTCAACCCATTGGAGGAGCTTGCAATACATTTAAAGACTGGTTTTCTTGTCTTGCTTTTAGAATGAAGTTATTACTTTAGAGTTATATTGCTTTTTGCAGACACACATGATGCTGAATTTTGGAATTCTGTGTAAAATATACCCTCACCTGAAATGACTTAGCTTTTTGATATCAGGACATTGAGGGACTAGACAAATTAATTCCAAGATCCTTTGAAGCCCTATGATTTTTTTTTTTTTTTGTCCTGTTTGGTTTTTCCCTCTGTTTCATCTCTTAGAAAAGGCTTGAAAACTTTAAACACATAATTACACAACTAGAGAAAGAACTCTAAAGCTGTCTAACCATTTATCTTATTCTATAAAAGTACATCATAATGAAGAGTATCAATGTTCTAGGTGACAAAGGTCGTATATACCTAAAATAGGTAATAATTGTGCTCATATGTGTTAATATCACACCATACATCCCATCCTGCTATATTTGAACTTTCCATAAAAACAATAGCCTGTGGTGAAACAGCTTGTCATGCGTACTAATGAAAAATTGCCCGAGATATCCTGATGAGATTCTTCCTGCACTTATTTTACCCCCGAGGTCTGGGAATTCACTGAACACAATGTAAGATTTTTCTCTATCTCTTACCCTCTACCAAAAATTGTACACAAAATTCAGAATATCTCAAGTTTAACATGATTTTTGGAGTGCAACCATACATTGGATAATTATTTTAGATTGCTAAATGGCAAGAGGACAGGTTGAAGGAGGGTGAAAGTTACTTGTTTTTGACACCTAAGTTATTTCAGACTGACAAGCAAATCGTTTTTCACTTTATTTCTCATTTTGCATAGGCCCTTCCTTGTTAAGAGCTGAGCAGACTCTTAAAAATACAAATAGGCAAATGCCTACTCTTATGTAATCTTCATGTTCTTTAAAAATAATATGGTGTTAACATCATCGGAGCTTTCTCTTTCCAAAGATTCTACACAGCAGATTTGGAAAAGCAAGTGGAAAAACAACTAATAAATACAGACACTTTGTAAAATATTAAAATAAGATTTGAATAGTCATTATCTCATTTTGACTTTTCAACTTTAGAGACTTTATGTGGGTCACTTCCCACTGCCTTAATTAGCAAAGTCAAAATAACAAAAAATGGCAATTTTCTGTACTCTCTGTTTTTTTTCCTGTTCTCAGCCTGTAGCAATAATTATATTTTCCAAATGCAAAATACCTCATTTAAAATGCAAGCTTCCTCAAAGTTGGCCAACTCTTATGGGCTCAAAGTGGCAAGAACAAGTAAATCTTTTTTTTTTTCCCCCTGATGTTTTCCCCTGTTAAAACTCCTTTTGGCACATGCACTGAATATAAATCGGCCACCATGTAAATAAATTTCTGTGTCAATATTTTTTATTGTAAAAAAATTTGCCCATTGAAGTAAAACAAGAGCAAGGATTTACAAATCAGATTGCTAGTGCACTTCTAATTTATACCTTCCATGAAGAGCCTTTAAGCCACAGCTGACCTCATATATATATATATATATATATATATACACATATATATATATATATACACACATATATATATGTGTGTATATATATATATATATATATGTATGTATTAGCTGGAAACAATTCATCAAGTAAGTTACCCCCTTTCCTTTCAAACCCACTTGTATTACTGAAAGGTTGAGTAAAGACCTCTGGGGAGCAAGGGCAATTTTTGACATGGGTCTCAACAGATTAAGCTATGCAGGGACAATATAGAATACATTGGAGCAATAACATTATCACATCATAGGCTGATTGAGAGGCATTTCCTCGCATTTCTGTCCTTTTACCATAAGCCAATAGTAGCCACAGGCATTTGACTGGAGAGCCTGGAGGATTGACAGGCCTGGCAGTCATTACACGCTGGATTGAATACTAGATTACTCCAAAGTGGCTGAGGGTCAGGGATCAGTGTGCTCCCTTTTGGCACTAAATGACTTTAATATCCTTACTGTATTAGTCAATTACTTTAAAGCTGCTGCTCTCTGAGCTCTCTCTGCCCCCCTGCAGTTTACTATGGACATTTGAATTGCTCCCATACTTAACCCACACATCTGCTTTTAGCTGTCAAAAGAACAGTGCTATCAGTGGAGCTATTGACAATATGAAAAGAACTGAGATACTTGCTGGAGATGTCAAGTGCCTCTCTCTTTTGGCTGCTTCCTTTAAAAAATAAAAAAAAAATAAAAAAATAAATAACTCACTTACAAAAGTGGTCCTAGAGAAAAGGAATTCAGCCTCATTTAATCTAGTGGCATGTAAAGTGACCAATAGTTTAAAAAAAAAAGTGGGATTGTTTTTATTTTGTTTTGTTTTGTTTTTTATCACTTACTTCCATAAACTGCACACCATCTATGTGGGTTTTTATTCTGTGGACACACTCTGAATATCACTATGAGTGAGTGTGCGCCAATGTGAGGACCTCTATCAAAGTCTGTATTTCATATCACAATGGTTCTAGTGATGGTAGAGAATTATACTGCACTTCTCAATTTATTGGTGTAACACAGTGAAGAATTTTATATCACAGCCACTGAACTTTAAAAGGTCTGATGTGGCTTGGCGTTAAACCAACATGTCTCGATTAAATGTGGGCTAAGGTGATCTGAAACGTAAAACTACTTGAAAGTCATGCCTTCAGTGTTTCAGAAAAAGCGATATGATTCCCACACAAGAGCACATCTGTTGAGTGAGCCCTGACTTGTGTGTGAGTGTGAGTGTGTGTGTCAGTTCCAGCACTACAGTGATAATAAAGGACATTGCAGGAAGTTGCTAAAAGATTATCAAGAGCTATTTCATACAGAAATAGAAAAATGAGACGGAAACATATAGAAAGGTTAACAATTACTACTAGCTTATTTATACCAGAATCTGAGAAAACCACTGATTTCCTACCTATAGGGCATCTCTTCAGTGAGAAGTTCTGGTTGTTTGATCAGAAACTGCTTCTAAACAATTTTTTAAGTTTCCATTATTGATTTTGAGTCTTTGCATACATGAAATTATATGTCAATGTGAGCAATTCTTCACAACATAGAAAAATTAAAGCTTTATCTTTTCTGAAACAATAATTAAATTAATACACATCATTGACACTTTTTGTTTGCGTGTTTCTGAGAATTCACACCCATAAACTGTGATTTCAGGGGTCATTCAACTTCTTTTGCTTAGAAAAGATTCTTCTCAGATGAAAATATCCTAGAAAACACAATCTTACTAGAAACATTATATAACCAACCCAAGTCAAAAATGGCTTAAAAAATACAAGTTTAAATTGCATGTAAGTTATTAGAATTGTTAGTTTTTGTCATCACAGTGACATTTTAAAGGCAATTTAAAGAGGAAAATGGCATGAAATTATAAGGTTGGAGAACTGTTTTGTATTATTTGCTGAACTTAAAGATGTTGACTTTTAATTGCTGAAGATGACATTAATCCGATCCTAAAGATCTAATATGTATCTTTAAACTTCACAGTAGTACAGAACAATTTCTGAGTCTTAATCATTTCATGCCATTTTCCGTTTAATTAAAATGCAGGGTTTTTTTCATTAGCTTAGCTTTTTTAAGCACAGATCATATATATATACACATGAAGTAAACTACATATACTTGAGACTCTCAAAGCTAATATGGCTCCTACTATAGGAAAGCCGACAGACTGGTAAACAATAGTGAGTATTTCCTTTTAGTGGGCATCTATAAAGTATGTAAAGATTATTGCCTTGTGAAATGAATTTTCTGATTTTGCTAATTTAAAATTTAGTCAGCAAAGAACCTTAAACAACTTGATACCTCTTGGCAATCATGTGTCATTAGCACTTTCCATTCATTTATATTTTGTTGTGTTTTGGGAATTGAGTATTCTGGAGAAGAAAGGTAGCCTGACAAGAAAGTGATTGAATAAGCCCCCTTGGTAGTTGGGATGACAGAAGGTGAAGAACTGTAGCTGCAGCTGACAACTTCTTTAATATGAATCACTTATAAATATTTACAATTCATAGTTCAACAATAACTCTATGGGTAACACATAAGCAGAAGCAATTGATGGTTTGTTTGCAATCCTGATCATTACTGTTTTGATAGGACTATGTTTTTATTAGAAAGTGTTTTTGACAAATTCATTTGTTAAAGTTTATTCTCTTCTATGTCTCATTGTTATTTCTAGTAAACTTCCATTGCAGTTTACTTATTGCTTTGCGTTGCTGTAAAAACACGTAGTTTGCATTACTGAAGATTAGCATCTGCTTTCATTCTGTTATGGTGGTTTTGATGGATGCATTTAAATTGTGTTCTTACTAGGATATGTTACAAAGCAAATGGAGTACTTTTTTTGCAAAGCTACATACTAGTTGCCCCTTAAACACAAGAACGACAAGCTTTGCAAAATCTGCAAAGTAAAATACTATGAGGTGTCTTATAAAACACACAAATCTACAACAATCTGTTAATGTAGCAACTAATTTTCATTTTCACGGATTTTATTATTGCTTCCCTAATGTAACTAGGAGGATTTCAAAGACCAACTGGAGTCGATACTCCTTTTCTCCTGACTTAGTGAGTAATGAGGTAGACAACCCCCTAACCCATTAGGCCTTCAATTGTGAAGTGGGAGTACAGTTAGCTTTCAAAGCATAGAAAAAGCTATCCTTTATGACAGTGAAAAATAAAACATGTAGAATTATAGTCTATGCATTTTAACATCTCTACTGAGTAATTACATAGAAAATTAACTAACATCCAGGGTCTCTGAATTTCTCTTCTGTTGTAGTATAAAATGTGACTATTTTATATTTGCACATGTAGTACATGATTCAATATGTTCTAATTTTGGAAAGAAAAACTTTATAATTTCTGAAGCAGATAATACAGTTACTGGAGAATGATTGGCTTTAAAAATAGTCTCCCTTTAAACAGTGATGAAAGTTTACTCTATGAGTGGCATAAATAAGGATGAGAAAGCTTTTTGAATGTGTGATCTTTAACAACTATGTCTGAATGCTCCCTAGTTTTTTATGAAAATATGTGTGCATGTGTGTGAAGGTGTGTGTTTAATAATTCTGGCAGAAAATAATTGACAGTTGGTTAAGGAAGTATAATTAGATTCATTTTAAATGTCTTTTTCCCTTTGAATTTGCTTCATAAATAAACAATGGAAAAAGGGTCTACAGAATCTGCTTATCATGTATCATGCTTCAATATGTAAACAACTTACTGACTGGCTTTGTGGGAGAGAAGGGCTCATAATTTTCAGCCTGAAAATGACATATACAAATAAAGGAACTAAAGCATGGAAAGTAACATATTTTGGTCTTGTGACTAATGGTAACCTGGTGCTATTGAATTACTGAACTGTGTCTGAGAACTAATGAGAAAATTTTCCCAGGGGAATCTTTATCCAGTGCACTTGGAGAGCACCTCGGGGACCTATTCTGAGTCTGTCACCTTCCCCGTCTCATTGACACTCCACTTCTTTACCACCATTACACTGTGCAACCATTTCACTTCACACCTCACGATTAGAATATTAAAAGGAGAGAATACTACACGACTTGTTCCAGATAGCAGAGTTGTTTTTGACACTTAGAATAGAAATTGTCACCAGAGTATCACAGACATGAGAGTCTCCAACTGAGTAGAACATTCTAAAGCTTAAAGCTATTTTATTTTACAGCTAATGAAAACTTTTAAGAAATCTCTTAATGACACCTAATTCATTTACTCAGAGTTATTTAAGGGCTGCATAATTTTAACCCAAGAGAATAATTCTACTCTTAGAGTTACAAAAAATGATTTTGCCGTAGAAATTTATCTTGGGTCATTATTATATTGATCTTTTGTCAGTTATTGTTTTGTTTGATCTTGTGTATACACAGATAAAATGTACGTTTCTAGACAGAGTGTGGCATTTTTTGATTGAGCAATGATTAAGAATGGTAATACTATCACAGATTGTTACCGTAGGGACTAAATACAGGGTTATTCTAGAACCCATACCGAAATACCTAACAGGGTGCTCCTACTTTCTGACAAAGGAACAAAGAAGAAGAAAAAGGTAAGACTGTGTAAGGATGTGTCTCACTATTACTATGCTTTAAAAAAAGATCTGTTTTGATGAGAACACATGGACACAGGGAGGGGAACAACACATACCAGGGCCTGTCAGGGAGGGGGTGGTGAGGGGAGGAAGAGCATCAGGATAAATAGCTAATGCATGCAGGGCTTATAACCTAGGTGACATGTTGATAGGTGTAGCAAACCACCATGGCACACGTATACCTACGTAAAAAACCTGCACGTTCTGCACATGTGTCCCAGAACTTAAAGTAAAAAATTATAATAAAATAAAAAATTAATGAAATAAATAATATGTTTTTACAATGAGTCATTAATTAAGAAATTCTCTTCTGAAAGCTGGGGACTATTTTTTTTTATCAGAAGTAAAATCTCTGCCACTAAAAAAATCAAAATTAGTGTTGATCTGTTATTTCATCTTTTCAAAAAGTATGACGACTGCCTCTTTGTTTAACTTTCCTATAATGGCAAGCATTATTATTTCTATTGCTGAGGTCAGGCTATTAAATTAAGAGCAGCACACATTCATGCAAAATACCCTTCCATGCAAATTTTGGGTTGAAATTTATTAGTTCTGCCGATGACCTTAGCAGTTATCTGTGTATTTTGCAAAATATATTTTGCATAATAATTTAAATGTCCTTATTAATATTTCTGCTGCATTTACTTTTGCCCCATATTACACAATCTCTACTCTTCTTAATAACTGATCAAACATATCTTCTCACATGGACAAATGGAGACAAATATTATTGGAGACAAAATTCTGCCAAATAATAAATTTCCAGAGCCATTCTGCTTCCATAACAACTTATGGAAAGTGTCACTTTTCTACAGCTTCAGACATTTCATTAATGAAACTTGCTTGGGCTAAAAAAGATTGTAGTCCTGGTTTGGTCACTCAGGTTTTTATTATGAAAGTGTGTGCTGGAATTTGCTATTTTAAAAATTCACCTTCCTGAATTGGTCTTATATATTGCTATTCCCTTTTCAGAACCTTATTGCAGACCACAAGAGGGTTAGAACAAATTCTGAAGTTTCCTGGTTTCTTTTAGGACACACCCAGAAAGATTAATCTCTGGCAAAAGTAGAACCGAAAACACTTAAGAGTTTAAAAGAAAGCTTAAATGCTTGGAATTCATACAGTATTTTTAATGGTGGGCAATTTGGATGGAACTGTTTATGGGGAACCATCCACCTTGAGAAAGACATGAAAAAATCCATGTAAGTTTATCAGTCCAATATGGTAAGCCCAGGTGAGAAGGAAAGGGACGAATTACACTCAGCGTCATGGTGTCAGTGTTGATTGAACATCTATGTTTTTCTACCTCTGACACATTTTACATCATATGCATAGATAAGAGCTGGCCTTGTGGAACTTTCTTTCCTCTGCAAAAAGACATGAGCTAAATTTTGGCTATTTTTCTTTTTTATGAATTCAAAAATTATTCTTTGATATATAATATAGGGATTTTATCATGTCCGCTCATTTAATGTGATAGAAGCAAGAGAAAGAGAATCAAAATGCTCTAATTTCTGGTATAATATTTGTATTTAAGTACTCAAGTATTAAAGTGACACTTGCCTGGTGGATTGAGTTTAGAAAGCCTGTTCACACTATGGCTTAAGTGCTGTAGATGAAACCTTGTGACTCTCAAGTGGTAATAATTCAAAATGTAATGCACATGAGGGAGTTAAACACATACTCATAAGGCTACATGAGCCATCCATTACAAGGGTTTCCTTCATTTTCTATGCCAGAGTCACAAAATAACTTCAAACTTCATCCCAGAGATGAAATCAAAAGTCCACCTCACACACATAAAAAGGACATCTCTACGGATTTAATCCAAGACCTGATTATTCAGGAGCAGCTTATTTGGCTCGTGGCTAAGTCAAAGTTTGCTACTTCTGGGCATGTTTGACTATAGGGAACTTGCCCTCATTTTCATCCCTCTGTCTGTTCTGAAGCATGTGAAAAACACACAACTTCGTCTTTACTCATGTGGTTTTAAATGGGCTCTTATTTGACTCATCTTTTTCAGAAGTGGAAAAAAAATAAGACAGTAGTTGCATGTGCAGGGATTTGGGGATTTATTCTCTTTCTTCTCTTTTTCCATTTCTTTTTCCCCTTGACAGAATTTCTGGTCTTTAGGCATTTGTAAGGCCTTTGCTTCATTCTTTCAAACCAGTCCATGATATATGGGTGGGGAAATGGAGGACACAGGAATCCAGAATGGATTCCTATCCATAGGACTACTTAGGATCTCAGGGACCACAGGTCACCACCCTGGGTTAAATAGTTCAGTTGGAAGTGCCTCAACACAGTGTAAGCAGTCATAAACCAGCATCATCCAAGGGCATGGGCCCCTCTTTCACGCTAATTCATTGGGTACACAACCCCATTCTGGCACATTACTCTAATTTGCACATACTCATAAATACTACATTTTTTGTTTTTAACTTATTGTACCTGAACCTCCTCCAATCTCTTTGTTACATAAGTTTTTAATTTTGGAACTAAATTAGCCATATGAATGAAACTTTTTAGGACAAACAACAAACAAAAAAGAAATTTGTTCATCCAACCAAGGTCCAGATTATGTCAGACCAATCAATCTTTTCAAAGGGAACAGAGTGAGAGCAATCCACTTCCAGATTCCAGTAGAATTAATTAGGAATGCCTGAAAAATGATTTCTACAAAGTATAACATACATGCATCAGTAGAAAAGGTATGTGAAAACTGAAAACACTTTAACTCAGTATTGAATTCATGCAAAAAAGAAACAACGATTTGAACTTTATCAACCATTTCAGTTCATATTAAAATAATGGTATAAAAAGGAGGGTCATGCTTTTCATTGCTAAAGTTTTCTACATTAGTACATGTTTGGTATTTTATTTTCAGTGTCAAAGAACCTAGCTGACAGTTTGAATCAGAGTCAATTTGTTTCGGCAAATATTATAAATTGATACCTGGTTTATATTTCTGTTGTTTTGATAATCCATGGCTGAGCTGATTTCCCCACACTCTACTTTTATAACTTTAAAGTGTTATTTGAGAACAGAGGGGATTTATTTTCTCATGATCTTATGCAGTTGCAGAAATATTTCTTTGAGGTAGTTTTGGAGAGATTTCCTTTTGGCTATGTCTATACAATCTCTAAATAAACAGTGAAAAGTTGAAAAGTTCAATCAATTTCCTTTATTATTGGTTTTGTAGACACCAAGTAAGAATCTAACTTAAAATAATATGCAAATTAGTTTAATTAAAGTAACCTGCCAACTTAGTTCAATTACTCAAAACCTTAGACATACTGTTAAAATCTTTGCTACCCAAAGACTGTAGCAAATTTGCACGTAGCTAAAGACTTTATGAAATTTAAGTTCAGTACTACATAGATATCAGTCTAGTGTTTTTCCCTCTTGATTTTCCTTGAATTTTTCTTTGTAAACTCTTAATACAAATAGTAAAAACAACGAGTCATTAGATTTGTTTTTTTCTGCATTAGCTTTCCATGGAAGTCTAGACGTTTGTCTTTTTTCTCTAATGGAAAATACCAAATATTTAGGGACCAGTTGCTGAGAATGTTAAATAAATGAGAGATAATCTCTGCTCCCAAGGAGTTTTGCATTAGTAGGGGAGATAGGTTCCAACTGACTTAATAAAAAATATCATGTCAAAGGAAATTAATTCAAACACAAGTGCAAGCAACATTTTGACAAAAGTACAAGGAGAATGAGAAAAGAATTTATGGAAGAAAACTTGAGGGATAAGTAAGATTTAATATTTAAGGGGAAAACATTCAGATTAAAGGAACAAGCTGAGCAAAATATTAACTCGTGAGTGCACAAGCACGTGAATTTGCATTCTAGTGAAGATTGTGCGGGGGAATATAGTGGATATTTCTTTCTTTTTTTTTTTTTTTGAGATGGAGTCTCGCTCTGTTGACCAGGCTGGTGTGCAGTGGCCTGATCTCCGCTCACTACAAGCTCCGCCTCCCGGGTTCATGCCATTCTCTTGCCTCAGCCTCCCGAGTAGCTGGGACTACAGGCACCCACCACCACACCTGTCTAATTTTTTGTGTGTTTTTAGCAGAAATGGGGTTACACCGTGTTAGCCAGGATGGTCTCAATCTCCTGACCTCGTGTTCCACCTGCCTCAGCCTCCCAAAGTGCTGGGATTATAGAGGTGAGCCACTGTGCTTGGCCTATAGTGGATATTTCAAAGCCACGAAGGGGACAATGCATGAAATGAATGCTATATCTAAAATTATTTACTAGAGACTTTGAAGAAACATATTTTATATTTACTTTTCAACAAAATGTTCAGGTTTAAAGGAAAGTGTGTGGCTAGCCGTTTAATTTTATTCTCAGATACATTGAAGTATTTGCATGCTGTAAATCACTCAATGGAAAGTTAAATTCATCTAATTTACATTATGGTGAAAATTTTTACAGAAGTGCCAAGGCTACAGAAAAGTACATACAGTAGAACTTAATTGCTTTATATCTAGAGAAAAGAGAGGAAAATGTTTTCCCACCAAATATAGGTTTAGATTTATTATCTATTATTCTTTTTGACAGTAGAGATCAGAAAAATGGATTTTCCATGGCTAAGAACTTTAGAGAGAAATCATTAAGGGATCTCACTTTAGAGAGAAATCATTAAGGGATCTCACTTACTATTCCCAAAATGTTTTTGATTCTCTGTGGCTCTGCTGGTGTTCCAGGATTATTTTGTTGGATGCACTGAAACTGCACTTCCGCAAGGCAGAGGCACAGTGGTTCTTGGATTTAGTCCATCTTCTGGGAGTCAAAAAGGAGAACCAAAGTAACTAATTTCAATCTTGGAGCATAACGTATATTGTGAAGTCTTGTTTATGTGATTTCAGGGATATAGTTATAGATGGAGTTGAAATGGAATCTTCCTCAAAAAGATCCATCAAAGAATGTCTTTCTTCTAGTGTGTGTTGCTTTGTTAAGAAGTACAAGCAATGGGGAAAGGATTTCCTATTTAATAAATGGTGCTGGGAAAACTGGCTAGCCATATGTAGAAAGCTGAAACTGGATCCCTTCCTTACACCTTATACAAAAATCAATTCAAGATGGATTAAAGACTTAAACGTTTGACCTAAAACCATAAAAACCCTGGAAGAAAACCTAGGCATTACCATTCAGGACATAGGCATGGGCAAGGACTTCATGTCTAAAACACCAAAAGCAATGGCAACAAAAGACAAAATTGACAAATGGGATCTAATTAAACTAAAGAGCTTCTGCACAGCAAAAGAAACTACCATCGGAGTGAACAGGCAACCTACAAAATGGGAGAAAATTTTCGCAACCTACTCATCTGACAAAGGGCTAATATCCAGAATCTACAATGAACTCAAAGAAATTTACAAGAAAAAAACAAACAACCCCATCAAAAAGTGGGCGAAGGACATGAACAGATACTTTTCAAAAGAAGACATTTACGCAGCCAAAAAACACATGAAAAAATGCTCACCATCACTGGCCATCAGAGAAATGCAAATCAAAACCACAATGAGATACCATCTCACACCAGTTAGAATGGCGATCATTAAAAAGTCAGGAAACAACAGGTGCTGGAGAGGATGTGGAGAAATAGGAACACTTTTACACTGTTGGTGGGACTGTAAACTAGTTCAACCATTGTGGAAGTCAGTGTGGCGATTCCTCAGGGATCTAGAACTAGAAATACCATTTGACCCAGCCATCCCATTACTGGGTATATACCCAAAGGACTATAAATCATGCTGCTATAAAGACATATGCACACATATGTTTATTGCAGCATTATTCACAATAGCAAAGACTTGGAACCAACCCAAATGTCCAACAATGATAGACTGGATTAAGAAAATGTGGCACATATACACCATGGAATACTATGCAGCCATAAAAAATGATGAGTTCATGTCCTTTGTAGGGACATGGATGAAATTGGAAAGCATCATTCTCAGTAAACTATCTCAAGAACAAAAAACCAAACACCGCATATTCTCACTCATAGGTGGGAATTGAACAATGAGAACACATGGACACAGGAAGGGAAACATCACACTCTGGGGACTGTTGTGGGGTGGGGGGGAGAGGGGAGAGATAGCATTGGGAGATATACCTAATGCTAGATGACGAGTTAGTGGGTGCAGCGCACCAGCGTGGCACATGTATACATATGTAACTAACCTGCACATTGTGCACATGTACCCTAAAACTTAAAGAATAATGATAATAAATAAATAAATTAAAAAAAAAAAAGAAGTAGGTTCTAAGCACAAGAATCACACTACATGTACTCCCTGCCAAAACCTTTCAAGGAAGTAGCATCAGTTCATGGAAATCAATGTTAAATTAATACTGAAGTTCCTCAAATTCATTGTAATTGTTCTTAGGTTTCAAAGTGGCATCATTTGCAATCCTCAACCAACCACTGTGTTCTGGTCATAGGGTTCTAAAACATGCTACAGAAATATCACATCTTCCCAAGTGAGAGGATACAAACTCTCTATCCAATTTGGTTATCAAGCTGTATGGTATGCCTGGAAGACAGTGAAACACTTGGGATAACAGGGTGAAAAAAAAAAACCCTCTGGAGAATGCTACAAGTGTGTATGTGCTGGCTCTCACTTTACCATTTTTGGTTTTGTTTTGTGTGTTTTACATATGGAGTTTTATGATAAAGACTTAGTTGAGAGTTTGGCTATTCACATCTAACAAATATTAATATTGATTTTTGGAAATCAATTTTCTTGAAAGGCATTTGCCCATCTGCCAAGAGGAATTTCTCCCTTGCCTGTCTCTATAGGCTCCATTGCCAACAGTGGTTATCCCCTCCTCTCTATCTCCCCTGATTTCATCATTTATTTTTCTGTCTGGACTCATATCTCATATGTGTCTTTCAACATTGTCATCTTCGTATAGAGTTTTTAAAAGAACTGAGTTTTGCTGTCCCAGTCTAGATAATGACTTTAGGTCTTCTTATCCCTTTCAAATGGTTACTTCAAACTAATTTTCTATTAAGGTAGCCTTCAAACGTGTGTTGGTGGTGATTTAGTTCTAAAAGAATTATAAAAATCTGTGTACTACATTGGAAGTTTCTGTTTTCATGTAAGTATTTTTAAAAATTTTCATAAATTTAAGCAGCTGCAAATAAAAAAAAAATCCAGGCATGGTGGCACATTCTTGGGCCCAGCTAATTGGCAGGTTGAGATGGAAGGATTGCTTGAGCCCAGAAGGTTGAGGCTACAGTTAGCTATGGTCTCATCACTGCACTCCAGCCTGGCTGACAGGGTAAGACCCTGTCTCAAAATAAATAAATAAATAAATAAATAAATAAATAAATAAATAAATAGCAGATGCAAATTGTGTAATTTCTAGCATATTCTAAATATCACAGTTTAAATAGAGCTTAAATCAATTTAAACTTAATAGAACAACATGTTAAAAGTAAATTAAGAGAAGTACCTGGAGGATGGTGAAATAGGACCTGTGAAAATTCTGCAACCCCACAGAAACAAGAAGAACAGTGGCAAAAATAATCAAAACCAACTTTTTCAGAAACTTGGAAATTCACTGAAGGTTTACAACAATCTAAGAAATATTTATTCAAGAAAAATGACTGAGTATCACTTGAGGCCAGGAGTTTGAGACCAGGCTAGTCAACAAAGTGAGACCCCCGTCTCTGCAAAAAATTAAAAATTAGATGGGCATGGTGGCATGCACTTGTAGTCCCAGCTACTCAGGAGGCTGAGGTTGGAGGATCACTTGTGACCAGGAGTTTGAGGTTGCAGTGAGCTAAGATAGCACCACTGTACTCCAACTTGAGCAACAGAGTGAGATCCTGTTTCAAAAAAAAAAAAAAAAAGAAAAAAAGAAGAGAGAGGGAAAGAAAAAAAATTACTAAATATCGGTAAGGACCATGAACTTTGTGACATTTTAACTTGCTCTATTCCCATTCTCCTCTCTTTAGGTCCATGGCAATTTGGAAAGCGTGAATAGCCATGTCCTTACATAATTTGTTGCAAGTAATCAGTGGCAATGATTTAACATTGATGCCGACTGAGGTGGAGATAGTACCTGGTGCTAACAAGAAGCTGACCAAAAATTTTAAAAGGAAAACCTGGGGAATGGTATCTCCGTAGGTGGCTCTGAAGAGCTCTGACCTATTCCTGGGAATCTAGAATGCCAAGCACGTGTGCAGAGTTGTGCACATCTTAAGAAAAGAGCTAAGAGTGCCCCAGTCTTTCACCTCTAGCTGACCTTGAGGCTCTTCACAAGCAAGAAGTGGTGGCTAAGGCGGAATTGTAGTCTGCCTGTTAGAATGTTGAAGCGTACCTCAAAGCACATAGACAACCTGTGGATTGAGATAAAATATTTTCAAACCACACATCTGGTAAGAGGTTAATATCCAAAATATGTAAGCAATTCTGAAAACAAGTTTTCTTAATTATTTCACATATGTGCATGTATCATAATATCACATTGCATCCTATAAATATATGTAATTATAATTTGTCAATTTAAAAAACATATAATACTTTTTAAAAATAATATGAGGCAAATAATATTCTAAATTTCCAAATTTAAAATGCGCACAGGATTTAAATAGATATTAAAATAGATATTCAAATCCTATGCCCATTTTGTATATCTTTTTGTATATTTATGTATCTTTGAAAGAAGATATACCAATGGCTGGTAAGCTCATGAAAAGATGCTGTCTAAGTCAGTCTGGGGACTGCTATAACTACAAACTGGTGAATTATAAACAACAGAATTTTATTTCTCATAGTTCTGGAGGCAGGAAGTGTGAGATCAGGGTGCCAGCATGGTTGGTTTGAGGGCATTCTTTCAGGTTGCAGACTCCTGACTTCTTGTAGCCTCACATGGCAGAAAGTGGATGAGCTACCCTGCTGGCCTCTTCTCAAAAGGACACTAAAATCTACCCTGATGACCTAATTACCTCCCAAAGTTCCCACTTCCAAATATCATCACATTGAAATTAGAATTCAACACACAGATTTTGGGGGACACAAATCCATAACAGATGCTCAGCATCACTGGTCATTAGGAAAATTAAAATCAAAACCACAATGAAATACCACTTTACACTCACTGGGATGGCTAAAATTAAAAAGGGAGACATTAATAAATTTTGACAAGGATGTGAAGAAATTGGCACTCTCCTACATTTCTGGTAGAATTGTCAAAGTGTAACTTCTTTGGAAAACATTTTGGAAGCTCCTTAAAATATTAAACACATAATTACAGACAATAAAGTCAGAAATTCCACTAGTAGGTATATTCCCAAGAGAAATGAAAACAAATTTTCATGCAAAGACTTGTGGAAAAATATACATACAGCATCATTTATAGTAACCCCCAAAGTGGAAACAGCCTAAGAGTCCATCAACTGATTAACAAATAAAATGTGAAAATGTATAAAATGGAACATTATTTGGCTATAAAAAGAAATGAAGAACTGATTTATGCTGCAACATGGGTAAAACTTGAAAAGACCATGCTAAGTGAAAGAAGCCAGTCAGTAAGATCACATATGGATGATTTCATTTCTGTGAAATATTCAGAATAGGAAAATTGAAAGAGTCAGAAAGTTGATTCCAAGGGAGAGAAAGGAATAGAACATAATATGACTGCTAATGGGCACAACTTTTTTCTTCACAGGCACGAAAATGATTAAAATTATACAGGGGAATTGCTTGCACAACTCTGAATATTCTAAAAATCGAATTGAATAATCAAAAGGAAGGATTTCATGATATATAAATTTTGTCACAATAAAGCTGTTACTTGTAAATGTAAACTAAACTTTTCATTACCAGTCAGAAATTTTACATTGCTCCTTTTTCCTTTCCAATGTTATTTTCACTTACCTGAAATAACAGTATCCCAATTTATAATAAATATTTTTAATTATCCCTTATATTTAGTTAAAAATTACGCACATTGATTAAAATGAAAGTATATGTTTAAAATTTTTGTGACTTTAAGCTTTAAAAAATTAGCCAGATTAGCCTTTAAAATTATTATTAGTACATAATTGATCAAAATTTTGGAAATAATTAACAAAAACAAAATTTTATTTGAAAAAATCTTTCTTAATGTGATAGAAGTGGAGTGGGGAGATTAATGTTTATGGTTCCTTGACTAAAGATAGTGTATCGTGACCTTTTGTTCAGCATCTCAAAGGCTTGCGTCACAGCAAATGTACCCTGGTATGGGGGAAATAGAGTAAAGAAACACAGAGAAAGGAACAGAAGAAAAAGTGAAAAGGCAAGAACTTTACTTGAGCCTGTACTCCAACAATATGAAATAAAATTCAAGAAAGTATAGTAAATTAAAAATAAGCTTAGCATTAACCCAGTAATACAATGTTTTAAATCCCAGGCTTACATGTGTGCACCAGCTCTAGAATACTAAAAGGGATCAGTAAAAATTGTTTTTAACCTTAGGGTAAAATTCTACTGATGAGAATGGCTGTTTCCATACAAAAAATAAAATTTACATGCTCAGTTTCATGAGTCTATTTTTAAATGGCCAAATTTATATCAGGGGCATCTTGATCGCACTCCACTGAAGAAATTTTTGCATGGGGACATACTGATGAGGCCTATAAGATAAATTACTAGGCATTCAACCAAACTCTTCTGTGGGGGAGGGGATGCTGTATGTTAAATTTAGCTTTCACAGATTAAAAATGAGGCTGAATAATTTTATATGTTTATTAGACATTTACTTTTATTTTAATAGCCTGTTTTGTAATTGGATTTCTTTTAATATTGCTTATGTTAATATTAGTGTGCAATAATTATTTACATATTATTAGTCATTGATCAAGTATATTAACATACTTTTTCAATTTGTGACTTACCATTTTGTTTCTAATATTGATTTATATACAAAAGTTCAGAATGATATATACTCAAATATGTTTATTTTTCTTTTATTTTTAAAGACCTTTTTGTTGTAAAATCACATAAATACGTGCCTATATTTTTTCTTGCTCTTTTGAAGATTCATATGCTATATTTAATTCTTTAATCTTGATTATATATTGAAACATGGTGCATTAGGAATCTAATTGTGGTTTAGAAAATAAATAATTGTCCCAGGGACTCTTTAGCAAATACTTCATCAATTTGCAGTAATTTGAAATTCCATCTTTATCCTAAACTTATCAACTTATCCTAAACTTATCCTAAATTTATCAACAAATATTCTTTTGTTGATGTTTAGGTTGAATGGTAAGTTTCCTTTTCTGTTTCTTGTACTGGTATTCACTATGAATTACTGAAATTTTACAATGCATTTTAACACTTAAAAGTAAATTACAACTTAGAATAAGCTACATTTTTCCATAATTATCTGTGCTATTCTCATAAATTTCATCTTACACATAAATTTAGAATCATTTTATAAAATTTCCCCAAATTTTGTATAAGAGTTTTGTTTGAGCTGTGGTCCAAGGTGTTAAAGAGGGAGAATCTGGAATTGGACTGCCTGAGATTGAGTTCTGAATCTACCAATTACGTGATGTTTAATCTTGTATCATCCACTTAACTTCAATTTACTTATCTGCAAATAATAATAATACCTAACAATTAAGATATTCTAAATCTTAAATATGCTTGCATACATATACATACATAACCTAACATGATTTCTATCCTAGAACAAAGCATTTAATAAAAATTGTATATTATTATTTTAAAAATTTCATTGGATTTACAAATTATCTTGGGGAATTATAGTCTTAGATTTAATAGATTTCTAATTCAGGAAAACAATTATTGAAGTACTTTTTTCTTTTCAAATATTTACTAATGTTTTTCAAATAGGTCTGGAGCATGTTTTCATTTTATAATCATTTGTAGGCATTACATATTTTTGCTACTTTGTGAATAAAATAGTTTTTCTAATTGTATTGACTCAACTTTTATAGTGATATATTGAAAATACATGTTTTTTTGTTAATGGACCACATTACTGATCCTGCTTATTAGGTCTATTTTAATCAATTAATTTGGGTTTTCTCAATAATTGTATGATACCTAGTAATGATAATTTTATTTCTTCCTGTCTAATATTTACATTTCATTTTTTCTTCCTTTATTGCATTCTCTAGAAATTTAAGAATGATACTGAATAACAGTGATAAATAGAAATCCATATCTTATTCTTGTTTCAAATTTTAACAGAAATATTTTCAATGTTTTAAAGTCCGGTAACATGCTGGTTATTGTTGGAATAAGTCTTCTTTACAATACTGTTTTTTTTTCTTCTTAGTTTGTACCAATTTGCTTTAGAAAGGGATATTGGATTTCATCAAAATTGTTTTTGAAATACAACAAAATGAAGATGTTTATTTTTTAATTATTGATTGATTTAATGATTTACCAAAATTGATTTGTCTATTTTGATCCATCCTTGCATTTCTGGAATAAAAATGTCAAAGCATAAACATTAAAATCAAACTCTTTGTGTTTACATACTTGTTCTAAAAGTTATTAGCCATGTATATTTGGCCTATTATTTCACTTTCTTCACCTATAAAATGAGGATTGAAAAGTTATTTTTCTCATGAGATTATTATGGGGCTTAAAATGTTAATAGATCATAGTAGACTCTTTTAGTTTGTTTTTGTATTTACTCTGAATTGATTTTGTAATGTTTGTATCTAGATTTAGAAGTAAAAGTGTACCATATATTTTTGCATACTTTCCTACCCAGATTTTTGTATCATTTCAGGAGATTCTTGTTTTGTTTTGTTTTGTTTTCAGATTTTCGAAGTGATTAGCATTGAATCATTTACTAATCTACTAATTTCATCAACATTCATACATATTGTTTGATGTTCAACCTTATTTTAAATTCTTATGATTTTTTTCCTTTCCCTTATTAGCTGTATTAGTATCCTATTGCCACTCTAACAAATTGCTAAAAGTTTAGTGGCTTAAAGCAACACAATTTTATTATGCAACAATTTTACTATATATATAACAATATAACTTAATATGAATTACATACCGTGTTATATTTTATTACATATAATATATAAATTATTTTATATATCTATATGTGTATAATTATGTCACAGGTCTAAAATGTATCCAGAGGCCTGTGTTCCTTTTGGAGGTTCTGGAGGAGATCAATTTCCTCTCCTTTTCCATCCCCAGGATGGTTCCCTACTCCTTGGCTCATAGCTGCTTCCTCCATCTTCAAAACCAGCAGCATACATCTTCTCTCCTCTTTGACCTTTGCTTCACTCCTTATATCATCTTTTCTGCCTCAGACTCTACTGTCCCCCTCTTATTAGGAACCCTGTGATTACACTGAGCCCACTTGGATAGTCCATGATCACGCCTCCGAAATCATTTTTGCCAATAAGTCACTTTGCCATATATTGACAAATTACAGGGGTTAATTTGTCATCTTTGGGATGTTTATCAGATAGCTTAGTTTTCTCTAAACAACATTATCTTCGTGTGACTTGTTAATTTTGCCATTTTCAATTTTCAAAATTTTATTACTTTTTCCTTTTTTAAAACTCCAGTTATTTTTCTTTGTCCAACTCTTTGAATTAGTATTTTTACTTATTCTTAAACTTAAGCATTTGCATCTCTAAATTTTTGTAGTTTTGGATGCGTGTCATAAATTTTGTTTTGTAGTCATCCAGTTATTGCCATTTTTAAAATTAATAATTTTAAGTTTGACATTCCCTTTGATCTTTGCATTATTTAGGTGAGTTTTTTAAAAAAAAATTACAAGTGACTCATTAAACTTGTACTTTGCTATTAATTTTTTATTTTATGCATCGTGGTAAAGTAACATCCTAAATGACTTCTGTATTTTGAGTTTTCTTAGGTTTTCTTAGCGGCCTAATAATAATCAGTTTATATAAATTCAATGATTTGTAGGATATAGAATGTCATATCTGGCTTTTAATTAGTATTATTAAATTTATTTTTTTATCCACTGTAAGGTTATTTATTTTTGCCTACTTCATAGGCTTCAAAGGGTCCATTGTAGTGACATTAATTAGAGAATGTGGCATATTAAAAGAAAGCTGAGATGTTCAGGAATTTTTAAATTTTAGGTAAAAACTGCAAGAAATATAAAAGCAAAAAAATAGAACACATTTAATTTTGAACAGTAAAAATTTATTGTTTGTATGTGTACTTCCTTGACTTTTTCTGCACATTTGCCTACCGATGAGCATTTAGGGAAAAGTAATGTTTAAATTGTAAAAAGTAAATAGATAACTTTTTTCAAAATCTTCCCTTTTTCATCTGGCTTTCTACCTACGTATATTCTGAAACTGAAAACTCTTTTGACTTTGCCCGTCTGTATACTGTCATTAAGGCACACATCAGAAAAACAGTGGTGCTTGTGGCATTAAAAGTATGAGGAACTTGCTTCAAACTGCTGTCCCAGCAGAAGGCCAGTGTAGGTTTTAGCTAGCTTTTCTTTAACCTTCTGAATTACAGCAGAGAGCTGATACTGAAACCACGTCTGAAAGTTCTAAACTAAATGAGTTTGATGGTGTCAGCTTAACTGGAGCCAAAATAAACCTACGGTATATGTTTATACTGTCTGTTTTATACATGTCTAGAGCAGGGGAACTATTGAAGTTGAATTACTTCTTACCCCTGGAGAGGGTAGTCCTTCAGTGTCATGACAAAGGTCACTGGTAGGTCATCATGGAGAAGCCAGTTTCTGGACAACAGAGTGCAGTTTCAAAAGCCTGTCAATTTTTCATCTTCACAAAAGCAAAATGGTAAAAATGTTTTTGTAATAACAGAAATATAAATGTATACGTATACATTTGTGCACATTTACATGTTCAGGTTTAAAATACATATTCTCAGTGTGTGCATAGAAAATTGTACCTGAAAACTATTGTTTCATTTGGAATTATTTTTACTTTGAATTTTATGGAATATTAGTAAAATAAGAAAAGTTTCACTTACATACCAATGTCAAAATATCTCAGCTTTGCCAAGGTTAATAATGGGCTTTATTGACAGGTGTCAGGAGATGGCGAATCAAGAGTGAAGAATGCAATCCCCAGTTCAAAAGAACAGAACATTTTTCAAATCCATCAGCATATATAAAGTACATTTATTTTTATTTAAAATGGTAATTACTTTTATTTTAAATTTAATTTTTATTCTGTCTCCCCCACCCCGACCTTTTTAAAGCAGAATAATTTTCCAAATGTTGATTTTCTTTAAATGTAAATTTTATAAAGACAAATTACTCAAAACAAAGAGTATTCTATCCTAATTATTACCAATTTTATTTTAATGTTTAAGATGCTGGTATGTATGAATAATAATCATGTAATCTAACTGTCCACCTTCAGTATTGATCAACTCATCTACCTGATGTCTTCTTGCTGTTGCTATACTGACCTCTGCAGGCTTCTGAAGTTGGGAACAATTGTTTACTCTGTGCATAGCGCTGCTGGCCATTGTAGAATAAAATCAAAGACTCTATAGTTGCCAATGACTTGCACACGTTGATTTATCGATGAGCTTAGATTTCTTTTCATTCTTTGATAAAGAAATTTGTGCATATATGTTTTGATGAATAATTTCAAAAGCAGGATTTCACATTCTTGATTACTAAATAACTTTTTTGCCCAACAAACCTGTTTAAGTTGAAAAATCTTTAAAATGTACACTTTAAAGACTATTTTTTACCTTTAATATAGGAAAAAATTATTGGCGAGTTAGTTGGTGCAACAATGATAGTCAAAAACATTTTCTGTTGCAATTAAACTATATATTGACTCAGACTTTGTTCCGTGTGCAGTTTTATTACATTTTTTCATCTGTTCCTGCATAATAAGCACTTTAACTTGTAAGTTAGGGAATCATTTGCAGACCTATTGAAGCTCATATAAGATCATTTATGAATTCTGATATAAATATTATAAATAGCAAATGAGTTTTGTGATGTATCTATGCACAATGCAATTTTATCCTGTAGCATTGTGCATTTTCTGTAAAAGAATAGTCTGTTTTTTCTAGCCTAATTCTTCTCACCATTTTGTACTTTAAGATTTCTAACATGTATTCATGCCCAACTATAACTTTCCAATTAGTCTCTGACACCTCTTTATACATACATATATATATATACAGATATGTGTATATGTCTAACTCATGGTCCAGTCTGGTTGATTTGCAGAGCAGTGCCCCAAACTTTATTTATGTTAGAGACAAAAGCATGTTGAATTGTAGCTCTGTGTATGCCTATTTCTGATTTAACAAATGACAATATACAGAATGCTTAAAAATTTAGGCCTGGAAATATAATTTTGTCTGGTTTATGTTCCTTTGCTTTCTTCACTTTTACTGATTTTAGTAACTATTTCATCTGTTTGCTACAGCTACAGAAATTATTTTCCTAAATAGGTATAGGGGCTATCCCAGCAATTTCTAGCTCTCCACTAAGTAATAAAATTATTTACAAAATTCATTTTCATTCATTCATGAATGAAATGTTCTATCACCTTTTCTCCATTTACAAAAGTTCAGATGATACTCATTCTGTAATAGTTCCTCTCAGCCTAGCTGTTAACTGAATCCTGTATCCTAGAATTTAAATAGTCCAAGATTTTCATTATAAGTCACTATCACTTGAAACATCCATTTATGTTTTCTCATTATTTTGGCCAAAAACATATAATTTTATGTGAAATACACAGATATAACTGGAGCAAAACAAAATGTGCCCTTAATACATTGTCTTTACAAATTTTTGGATAACTAATGGGAAAAGTTTTAACATTAACTAGATGTTAGAGGATCTTAAGGAATTATTGTTTATTTTTTATGTTTTCCCATTATGTTTTTATAAGTCCTTATTTTTTCTGATTATATAATGTCTGGAATTTGCTTTAAAATATTCCAGTGGTAGTGCTAGAGTGAGACAAGGAGTGGTGGGTGAAAATATAGATGAAATAGCTTTGCCCTGAATATCAAGGGGGTGACTACATGGAGGCTCACAATTTTCTCCGCTCTTTATATGTTTGAACGTTTATAATAAAAACTTGAAAATAACAATAATGGATTCACAGCACCTTCTCCTCACAATCATTCAACCAAGCCATCGCCTTAAACCAGGGCCCTTGAGATGCTTCTTTCACCACACTTTTCGAATACAAACACTTAAGCACTGTAGATCTGGCCGGCTGCCATGTTCACCTCTCAGCCTGTTTCTTCTTCTGTTTTAAGACCCAGCATTTGACTTCTCAAATATGCTACTCAGTCCTATACTATGCCTCATGCTCACACAATCCGGCATGTATTATCCCATCCCTCTACTTCAGTGTGCTTTCTCTTCCTTCCTTTATTCCTTCAAAAGTGAAATTGGATATCCTCTCTTCTAGGACATCACATTGATTTAGGTAAAACCTCCCAAAAATTAGCTACAGAGTTATTCACTTCATCCCCTTTACTCTGACAGTTCAACTTTGTACTGTTTACTATTCATACTTTTTACAATTGCTACTTAATCACACATTATATTTATTTATTTACACACATCTCACTGAAAGAATTTAGGAGTTCACTGAAAGTCTTTAATGTGCTTGTATTTCCAATTATATTTTATTATCCTTGTTTATTCTCCCCTTCATCATCCTTATGTATTGTTTACTTATATTATACTATTATAATGTACATATTATATTATCCTTGTTATTCTCCCTCTCATCATTCCTACATATTTCTTAGTTGTGTTATACCATTATAATGTATCTTTTAAAAGCTACTTTAAATTATTTGTTACAATTTGGGGAAGATAAAAATAAGTAATCAAATAATATTTCTTATTCATTGTGAAACACTTCAGGACAGCTAATGCCTTTTGTTGATTTTTGTATACCCAGCATAAAGTTAAATTCAGCTGAAAAAAAAAAACAAAAAAAATTAAAAGGAATAGTCAGGAATGCGTTTGCCACACAAGAGAAAAAAAGATTGAGGAAAGATTGTTTGAATTACCCATTTTAGAAAAGAATCCAAAATAAATTTCAAAAACTTTATTTTTCATTTAATGTTTTTTAAATGCATAAACTTATTACTTTTTGGTACATGAAGCTAAATGTACTTTGCTGATTTGAGACCTAGCTGTTATCACCATTTATTACTAATTTATTACAATTACATAGTATTCTTCTTGTTGCTGTTTTGTCTTAAAACAACTATTTATAAGTCATAGTGCTAGAACAACATGCATATTATTACAGTTTTTTAAAAAAAACAAACCTTGAGTTATCAGGATACATTTGTAAACATGTTAATTTACAAATACATTTACATAGCTACTTATAGTTTTCACCTTAACCATTTTTTTCATTTATTATGGTAAAATTAATAATTAACATATAAAAAGTAACGAGAAAGCTGAAAATATAATTCTGCTCTTAAGTGTTTTCATATAATTTCAATTCCCTTTAAATAATATTCCAGGATTATGAACAATTGTAACTGTGGGCTATAAAATCTAAGCTATTTTATTAAAAATTCATAAATTTTCAGGGTAGGGGAATGCTGTATGCAAATATTTTTAATATAGTAGATTTTTACCGTAGTATTCTATCTAAAGTTCAGTAGAGCTATTAGATAATATTTAGGATGGTAAATTGACACACAAACACTTGTATAAACATCAGTCGAAACAGACAGAAACTTAGTTGTTTGGGGAAGGAATGGAGATATTTCTGTAATCCTCTTGCCCATGAAATTTATCTTTATGCTAATAGTTTTTAACCATGATTGTAAATAGAAGTAACAGGTTGGCTTTATTACTAGGTAAGTTGAAGGCATGTAAGGCTTCATACAACTGAAAACTGATTCAAATGTGTGTCTTTGAGTTGTCCCTTCCCTTCCTTACCATCATAGCATGAGGGCTGTGCTGTAGCTCTAGGGTCAGCAAGCAACAAGAGAATCAGTAGCTCCCATATAAGAGATCACCTGGCAAGTTAAACTTCCCTCTCACACCCTGCTTCCAAGTCCTTCTACAACATTATCGTTAAGTGGCATATGTATGAGACCAAGGAGGCTACCTCTACATATTCTGCTTCCTTCCTAAGGTGGTTAGAGGTGAGAGATGATGACAGTAAGGACAATCACAACATTTATTCCCACTTATTGTTGCCAGACACTGCTAAGTTCAAGGTTCATAGTCCTTGCTGTGAATGATTTCTGTGATTTCAGATTGCAAAGCTTTAATTGACTCTGTTTCTTCATTTATTCATAATAAATATTATTTGGATTAAAAACCTTGAGTTGGACATTAATCAAAAAATTATCTTATTTGTTTTAATTTTATAGAATAAATAACAGGTTCTGATAGGGTAATCTTCTTCTGCAATGAATACGTTAAAAGTTAAGCCAAGATATTTTGAGAGTTAAAACATTCCTTAATCATTTCTTTAAATTTTTATGTCATATGCAAAGTGTGATTTATAGTCACAACCTCAGATGTGCAAAATTATATGTCTTTATTTCTGTATATCTTAACAGAGCTCATGACCCTCCATTTTTACAGAATCCTGCTGTATTAAGGTATCCTCAGTCGCTTTCAGTTTAAATTTGCCCTTTCAAAATATTGCCTTTTCTGATGTTTCATCCTTTCTCTCCTTAAGTGATTCAGGAAGGCTGGGAGAAGTTATCTTGCCCCTTGCATCTGACCTACTCTGAGTTGCACAATTCCCATAAAGGTATACATTATTGACACCCAAATCCTACTGCATTCATGCCCACCAGTCACCAGGGTCGTGAATTCTCTTTTCTTTAAATCCTAAACCCAAATCCCTTCAGGTTCATTGTCCTACACAGCTTATTCTATGGCCCTTCTCCATCTCATGAGAGGCCTAGAAACTTTCATATACCTCCCTTGTATACACTGTATGGCTACCTATGGCCAAGCTAAAAAAGTAAAAAATAAATTTAAAAAAGTGAAAACAAACAGATAAAATTAATTTTAATACTGTAAATACTGTAAATTTAATACTGTATTTACTGTAATTCAAATACAGTCATGTGTTGCTTAACCATAGGGCTACATTTTGAGAGATGCCTGGTTAGGCTATTTCATCATTATATGAACATCAAAGAGTGTACTTGCACAAACCTGGATGGTATAACCTACTACATACCTAGGCTATATGGTATAATTTATTGTTTCTATGCTAGAAACCTGAACGGCATGTTACAGTGCTGAATATGGTACTATAACACAATGTAAGCATTTATGTACCTAAACATACCTAAACATAGAAAAGCTATAGTAAAAATACAGTATGATCATCTTATGGGACCACCATAGTATATGCAGCCCATTATTGATCAAAACATCGTTATGTGGCACATAACTGTACTAGTAGAAAATCTGTCTTAATTTTGGAAAAACATTCTGAATCCACTGGAAGCTTTATACTATCTCAAAGAAATTTTTTTATTTTATTAATTCCAGTTCTAAGAATGACTTTTGTTTTTTAAAAATGACTTTTTATATAACTTGATAAGCTTTTAAAAAATCATGCTTTAGTTATTTGTTAGAATCTCTAGTTCTAACCATTACTAAGTATGTCATACACAGAATCACCCCTTCTATCCACCACCCATCAAAAAAAGAAAAAACAAGTCTGTAGTGTCATCTTGAGGAGGTGTAGGTACTCATAAGCGGATGAAGTTAAGATCTAATACATCATATCCTCAGTCTTCGTGAAGGCAATGTGAGTTTTAGAAATAAAATTTATGAGTAATATTTATAAAGGCTGGGTGTGGTGGCTCACACCTATAATTCCAGCACTTTGAAGGCTGAGGCAGGGGAATCATTTGAGGCCAAAAACTTGAGACCAGCCTGGGCAACAAAGTGAGACTCTGTCTCTACAAAAATAAACAATAAAAACAAAAATCGTTAACTGGGTGTGTTGATGCATGCCTGTAGTCCCAACTACTTGGGAGGCTTGCTTGAACCCGGGAGACTGAGGTTGCAGTGAGCCATGATAACACCTCTGTATTCCATAAAATAAATGTTTTATTTTTTTTATTTTTAGAAAGAGTAAGACCCTGTTTTAAAAAATAAATAAAATAACTAAAATATTTATAAAGATTTTGGTAACCTTATAAAGCAGTGCTGTGTTTCACTCATGTCCTGCATATCCTACCACCTTAAATTTTTTGAGAAGTAAACAAGTACTTTTTATTTTATAATTATATTGGTTTAGACTCACTTGATTTTTTTATAATTATGTTTATACTGACTCTGAATATTAGTCAATTTCTCAGGTTAATACTAGATACCATTAACCTAAAGTTAAGCAAGATATCATTCTACTATAACTAGTGAATGGGATGCGTAGAATATCAACAGAAACACCTTTTCTTTTCCCTTTAATAAGGTATAGTAGGATTCATTTCCTACCAGTCTCCCTGTCAATATGATCACCACTGCCTCCATACACACAATGGACTACTATCTCGAGTATGTTGTTTATCCTAAATACAATGCACTTCTTTGTCCAATAAGAGATCAGAGCATCATTCTGTGTATTCAACATTAATGGCAATTTTATCCTACTAACACATGTAGCCACTTAATTCTTTACCTTGTTTTGGCTGGGGTCAGAACAGCTTTACTGAGTGATGAAGTTTCTTTATGCCCTGATCTGAAATATTAAAAAAATAAAAATAAAAAAGATGGCCAAGTGACGTACGTTCAATGCATTTTTAAATGGCAATTGTCTTTTATAAACTAGATAATTTTATAAATGAAAAACTCTGAGTTATGAAATGTAAATCACCATTATCTAGAATTTTTAAAAAAATTTCCTATTATACTCATTAGACCATATAAGTCAGCACAGTATGGCTGAGTTTATTTGTTTGTTTGTCCATTTAGCTTATTTGAAACAATTCAGCTGTCTCTGAGGGAAAGGTCATTCAAAAGTTTCAAATTCTAGGTGACTATGTAATTGGTGAATTAACAGAAAAAAAGTGTTTTCATATTTATATTTTTGCTTTTTCATAGTTCCTTTTTTCTGTCATTTTGTGCTTCATGATAAAATGTAGAACTGAAGAAAAAATGTCCATGAATCGCAAGTACTGTGTTCTATCCATATCATTAACTAGTCAAACCTGTGATAAGCCTTTTAACTTGTCCGAGCTTCAATTTTCTTTGTTTTATTTAATACAATAATAATATACATACTCCTTTCACTTTTTAAAAAATACAATATACTTGACATCTTTGAGCTTCTGAATAAAAGGAACATATTGAAGGACTAGCCATCAGGTTCAAATAGTTCTGAACCTGATATCTAGGTAAAAGGAACAGGTAAATAATAATAATAAAACTGATTTGTTAGTTGACTGAGTTGAATGACAGATTCAGTTTAGTGTAAGTTTTCCAGCTTATGAAGACAGAACTTGGGTGTCCCCAGAGTTGATGATGGGATTCAGAAGATACTTGAACATTTATCTTATATATGCCAACATATGTTATTTTTAATAAACACTATTGATTTATATAATAGAAATTATAAAAGGCATATTCGAAGTCAAGTAATTTGAAGTACATGCTAGGTATACACTGGGCCATTTTTTTTCAGCTATAAATTTAGGAAAAAAGTATACTACCTGTTCACATTTGTATCAATGAAACTCTAACCCATCTTACCTAATTTTTTTTAAAAAACTCCCCACCTCCCAGCTAGAACAACGTTAAAAATAATAATATTAACATCAAAGGATAGTAGGAGAAAGCAGTAGCTCAATACTAGTTTGAGCTAAAGCAAAAGAGTGGAAAACTATATATGTTAGGTGAGAGTTAGACTGGGTAGAGCTTTCAAAAACAAAAAGACTCTACACAAGAGCTTACATAGAACTTATATGTGTCAGACACTGTTCTAAGCAGTTTGCATACATAAAATCAATGAATTCTCACACTCAGTAAAGTAAGTTGGATTAATATTCCCCATGAGCCATAGAAGTACCTATGGTTAAGTACCTTACTCCTAAACACAAACATTTTTTAAACTCGTACTCACCACAAAACTGCTACAGCTATCCATTCAAACTTTTTTCATATTTTTCTCTTATAGTTCCATGATAGCTGTTTAATTATTAATTATAAAACAAATTAATTTTAAAATTCATTGTATTTTAATTTCTTCATATTTTACATATATATTTTTCCTAGAACTTTGGAACAATTTTCCTTTGAATCAGAGGTGATTGTTGCATTGCAATCCTATAGACTGAAGACATTTTAGTGAATCTCAATCTCTGTCTTCTAAAATGGCCATCACATTTACAAAAATTTATGGAAAGAATCAGACTGGTGCAGAATGCTGTAATTAGGTGTATAATAAGAGCATCACAATTTGCAATGCATCCTACAGAGGAATAGCTGCCTACTATGATTTAACTAGGATTGGGCAAATGTGCAGCCCTCAGTGCCATTTATGAATTAATCAGGTGCACAAGCACCTCTTAGGAGCCTTCACACCGAGTGAGGAAATCTCCTAAGGGACATCATATTAAAACAGCCCTACAAAACTCATTAGTAGAAACTACATCTTCCTATTTTTAATTTAAATATATAATAGAAAAAGAAACAACCTTTTCCAGTCTATCACTGGACTTGAATTAGGGTCATTGTAATGAAGGAATACTAAAGTTTTTTTGTTTAGTTTCTGAATAAATGCATATCTTATATCTATGCAATTCTGGAACTGCAAGAAATGTGAGGAGAAAACCATTTTTAATGTAGCTAATAATGTATATAAAACATATGTACCTTACAGATCTGTGCAAACAGCAGCACACATGAATGACTTATTTCAACCTGAAGATAACATAAAATGTAGTGGTTAAAATTATCCTCTTGCTTAACTCAGGCCAATGTCAATGTCGTATGACTTTTCGCTATTATCAGCTTTGAAATTGAAATAAAAATTAGACAAAGTTATAAAAAGTCACTATTTTTTTAACCTAGCTATTACAGAAATACTTTTCAATGTTTCAGGCAGAACAGGTAATATAAAATTTCCAATACTGACTTCAACTTGAGACAAGGATATACTTTAAGAATTAGCACTCTGCAAAGTGTGTTAAGTCTGACATTCATGATGTCTCCGTTATTAAATAGACACTGGTACGTACTGATTTTCTTATAAAACTTAATAATGATAATGACCTTTCCTTTAGGAGTTGGGTTTCTATGCTGAAAACACAGATAGATATATAGAATTTGATACCAGACAGACTGCAGCAGACTGTTGAGTTTTTATAGAGAGAGAAGTTGTAATGCATTTTTCACCTTGGACTTTGAACATTGATGTGCCATCATGGCCATCAAATGTATATATTTTGGTTTATAGTGAATATAATTAGTGTTACACTCAATTTATTACCTGATTCATTGTCCTTATGCCCCACTGCATCATTCCACTGCAGTGATTTGCACAACAGAGAATCCTATTAAAGGAAAAGCAGCTGATGGTACACATTTCTTTTCATGTCACTTTACTCTATTTGAAAAGCAGTATTGAGCCAAATTTTTATGACCACACAGAGGCTAGTAGCTTGTAGATATGATGCTATGTTCTTTAACCTTATTCACAACCCCAGATCAAGACTTATTTCCATATAATGTAACAGATGAGTCAATGGTCCAACTGGCATATTTTTTCCAGCTTCAGAAATTCAGATAATTATAAACTAATTATATCACTAAATATTTCACCTAATTTTAAATATGAGAAATAGTTATAACAGCCTCCATGTATTTTTTGGCCCTAAGATGGTTGTTTTGTGATACATTTAATTGTATGTTTATCAAGACACAAAGAAGAAAAACCAACCATTATATCTGTACATACCAAAAATAGGTAAATGTAACAGCCTGTTTACATCCAAAAATACTTACTCAGTATTCTAAAGTTTACATTTTACCTCCAAGCCTGTAATATTGGTCTGTGCTATATAAATAATATTTTACCTTAACTCTAATCATGTGTATAAGCTTTTTAAAATATAATTAGCAATCAAAATAGACATCCACACATCAAATGTTAAAGACTTTAAGAAGGATATGAAAATTGAGCTCAACTAAATTTGAGCCCAGCTCAAATCTTGGCTCTTGTTTGCTACCTATGTTAATTTTCATAAGCTTTTAAAGCCTCCATTCCCTTAAATAGAATGTTTTGAGCCGGATTAGTGTGTTTGTGTTGGCAATGTGTACAGTAAGAAATGCTGTGCAGATGAAAGTCATAATTTGAATGTTCATCTCTTTCCTAGATGCTATATAGATCAACCTATATCACTGTGAAATTTACACTCAAGCATATTTTAACACTGTGTTGACTCAGTGTTAACTGATTTGCATATACAGAACCTATGCAACTGACAAGCAAATAAGTAAGCTAAAAATTAGTTTTCTTTCATATGTGTCATAACGATAGATTGGGAGGGAGATGCGTTTAACTGTAGGAATATCGTCAGAAGACGTGTCTCTAAAGTGAGAAATTGGGAACATCTGGATACAAAAGAATAAACTATGTTTTCAGCTTGCCTAGTAAGAGTCTAACCCTTTTAAGCTTTAAGACAGCCATGAAAGTGAGTGTGACATGGACAAGAATCTTTAGTTTTTATTGTTTGCTGAAGACTAATAAACTGTGCCATTTTGAAAGTGAAAAATTTACCAACACTTAGCTCAGTTACCTCATTTATAAAAAGGCTAAAATCAAAATCACGGATTTTAAAATATTCATCATTAGAACCTCAGGATTCCTTGGCTTGATTCAGAGGTTTCTGGGAGGTAACCGTAGGTACCATGGGCTGGGATCGAGGCCTTCTTCCCTTCTTTAACAACATGGATTTGTTTTCCATTTTGGGATTCTCCATATGATTTCATCTGGAAAAATATATGGGGGAGTGATAACACTGTTTAAAAGAAATAATACCACTGTTTCTATGTGATTTCTGGGTTTCAATTCAGTTTTTAAATACCATACATTTGTTTTTAACATTGGGATAACCATCGCTTATCTGAAGCATTATAAATCTCACCTAGGCCAGGCGCGGTGGCTCACGACTGTAATCCCAGCACTTTGGGAGGCCAAGGCGGGCGGATCACGGGGTCAGGAGATCGAGACCATCCTGGCTAATACAGTGAAACCCCGTTCTACTAAAATATACAAAAAAATTAGTCGGGCGTGGTGGCGGGCGACTGTAGTCCCAGCTACTCGGGAGGCTGAGGCAGGAGAACAGCGTGAACCTGGGAGGCGGGGCTTGCAGTGAGCCGAGATCGCACCACTGCACTCCAGCCTGGGCGGCAGAGCGAGACTCCGTCAATGATAGACTGGATTAAGAAAATGTGGCACATATACACCATGGAATACTATGCAGCCATAAAAAATGATGAGTTCATGTCCTTTGTAGGGACATGGATGAAATTGGAAAGCATCATTCTCAGTAAACTATCGCAAGAACAAAAAACCAAACACCGCATATTCTCACTCATAGGTGGGAATTGAACAATGAGATCACATGGACACAGGAAGGGGAATATCACACTCTGGGGACTGTGGTGGGGTGGGGGGAGGGGGAGGGATAGCATTGGGAGATATACCTAATGCTAGATGACGCGTTAGTGGGTGCAGCGCACCAGCATGGCACATGTATACATATGTAACTAACCTGCACAATGTGCACATGTACCCTAAAACTTAAAGTATAATTAAAAAAAACAAAATCTTTTCACCTAGTTATTTACTTAAACAAACACTTGTATGGTTACTCCTATGAGCCTCATTCTTTTTTTACTACTTTGTAAATAATTTGTTCATTTACTCCTTATAGCATCCTTGCAAAGTAGATATCATACAATGATTCCTATTTTGCAAATGAGGAAATAGGCATGAAGAGATTAACTCTCCTGTCCAATATCCCAGGAATAGTTAGGGCAGAACTGGAACTTGAATCCAAGCTGCTGCTCTAGAATCTATATGATTAACCCCTGCACTCTTCTGCTTTTAAATTCTGATGTATTTGTGATATATTAGTGATATTAATGTAGATTCCTGTCATCTATATTTATAAATATTCTTTTATAAGTATTTTAATGGTTACAAAAAAAGGATGTTTTGTCTCTTCCTAACAGTGGTAAAATTAACTTTTCCAATATAAAAGGCCTTTGTAGAGCTATAGAAATATATGTAAATAATTTTTAGGGAAGATCTCTAAGTATGGATCAAAAGTTGCTGTTACCAACCACAAACTATTTTGGGTAACTAACGCAGAACACACTTTCCATTAGAACAGATCATGAGATTCACTAGTAATAGGAAATTAAGTAATTTTTATTAATTCCTATTCTAATTTCTTAATCCAAAATTTATACATTTAATTCTTAAGACATTTTATAGTATATGCATGTGATTTTTAGATGGATTTTTTATGTACAAATATAGAGAAGTAGGAAAATAGGTGCATAATGATGAACAATCCCCTTAGTAAAATATGTATAAATGTACAGATAAAATCTCCTGGCTATTTGCTTACTAATGGACTAATTTTTAAAATACAGTGTTCTCGTGAAACCAAAATTTACCAGATTTTCTGAAATTGATTTGTATTCCCCAGAATGCAATCTCCTATTCCCCAAGGGAATTTATCATTTGGTTTATTGCTTGAAAGTAGACTTGGGCTTGAAGACTCTCAATTTCTTACTAAATGTAAAATAGAGAAGCAATATCATTGTTTTAAAATAACTGGAGATAAACTGTAGAAAGTTTATTTGGAGATACCTCTTACATTTTTAATTTTTTTATTTTTAGTTATGGATACATAATAGTTGTATATATTTATGTGGTACATGTGCTATTTTGATACAAATATACAATGTGTAATGATGAAACACAGGTTACTGGGACCTCCATCATCTCAAATATTATAATTTTTTGTACTGAGAACATTCAAATCTTCAAGAGACCTTTTAAAATTGTGGATCTCTTAGGAGACGAGTATCCTTTAGCAGATATTGAACATGGCAATTATTTTTACCAATAGAGATTTTCTCAATTGTGATATTATACTTGTTAAGTGAATACACTCACACATTGTGCTTCTATCATTTGTTTGACCAATTATAACTTTTTAAACAAATTATGGGAAATCTTAGATTGTGCCAAATTGTGTCATCTTAGAATTTCAGAATTAATGAATGTATTATACATTACTTTTTTCATTGAAACTCTTAATTCATAAAAGATACTGAGTTGTATTAAGTGAGGAAAGTAGATAAATGTTTATTTATTTTGAAATTTGGTATAGCAATTCTTGATTATTTAGGATTAACATCATGAACAGACATAGTGATACGGGAAGAAAGGCTGAACAACTGCAGTGCATAAGTTAATTATTTAAATAATTTAAATCATTGGTTACAATTAGATATTCATTATTAATTATTTAATTATCCATAGTATATTTGTTTTGCATTACTAAAGAATATCAAGGATTTTTTCTGATATCATCAGTGTTTGTTGACTATACTTGCAATAATGAAGAGGCAGAGAGGATTTTAGAAGGCTGCACATTAACTTACATTCTGTAATTTTCTTACACTGTTATGATAAGTTAAGCTTTATTTAATTATTCTGACATTTCAGAGAACCCTTTTACTTCATCTTCACAAGGAACGTTTTTAACATACTACACATTTAACAAATCATCTTAATAAGGAGAACACATAATATCAAAGCATTCAACAATAATGTTATATTTTAAAGTCTCTTCTGTAAAGACAGCTTCTTATCTCTGGATCTTTCTTCCAAGATTACTTGTTTCTATTATTTACTTATTCATTAATTCTTTTATTCATTTCTCATATTTTCCCTAAAGGTTTCAAGGCTCTTTACAAAAAGGATAAATCAAACAAAAATAATATAGTAGAAATAAAAGGAGAAAACTAAGGCTAAAAACCGAAAAGCAAACCTTACAACACTGAGGGTTAATACCATTGCTGTAATTGAGCATAAAAATTGCATTAAGTTTCCTGGCAGGCAAGGTAAAAAGTACAAAGCGACAAGTTACAAATCACGCAGAGAAAAGAAAACATACCATTTGCTCTTGAGAAACAGTTTTTCCTAGTATTAACCCTGGAGAGAAATTATTCATGTGAGGCAATACTTTGCAAATTGTATGTCAGCCCACTGAATAACTTCAGAGGGTTCTGACAAGAATTTTAAGAACTGAAATACAATAAAGTTGGTTTTTATTATTCAAAGTAATTGTGTTCTATAAAGTCCCTTTGAACATTGAATTAGTGAATACCGAATCATTGTCCCTAGGAGATACACAGGTTTCATGTCTGTGGAGCCTCTGGCCTACACCAATCAATACATAACCTTCCTTTATGTGTGCTTCTGTTTAAAGATATCTTACTTAACACATATTATTCATTCACTAATGTTGGACCCATGTCCAACAGAACCATAGTCATGTCTGAAAGAAGTGTATGTAACCAACCTATATTTTCTCTGTAAGGGACATCACAGCTTTGTCGAATTTAGGAACACTAGACTTCAGCGCCATGCTTGGGGGCCAGATTGAACAGCGAAATCACCAACAAAAAGCACAAGAGTGCAAAACACTCTTAGAGAGTACAAAACACTCTTACAGAGTACAAAAACAAGAAGGGAGATTGTTACCTTGCTCACCTTGGTATATGCCTGTCAAGTGACTCAAGTTTTTCACTGCTCTGAGCATGAACATACCCACACATGACTGTAAAGTTCCATGAGTATTGATTTGGGAGCTTACAAAAAAATTTTAGAGTTTAGATAAATTTGTGAGTACAGAATTCACTAATTGTGAGAGCTGAAAAATCTATACTGGAAGAGAATAGAGAGGAATAAAGTAGAAAAAAATACATTAGAGCTGCCTATCCCAGGCAGTAAAAAACAAATATTGTTTCATGAAATATTTTTCAGTGATAATATCAAGAGAGCTATTGACAGATGTATGCAAAAATGCCAATTTTTATAAATACGTACAGCAAATCACAAAAAAATTGTATTTCTTACTTTTTTATGTTTGGAAATCATTGGTATAGAGGACATTCAGCGATGTGATGAACAATTTAATAACAAATTCTGGCTAGATTGTGTGTGTGTGTGTGTGTGTGTGTGTGTGTGTGTGTGTCACTTGAAAAGACCCATTAGGAAACATTTCAAGAATCTTCTAGGGTATTAATAAGGTTCTCTTCTAGGGCAATGACAGTGGAAAAGAAAAATAAAAAAGAGATGTGAGACTCTAGTGCTGAGACAGAAATTCTCCTCAGGAGTTCCCCATCTTTTTGGCACCAGAGACCGATTTTGTGAGAGACAATTTTTCCACGGAAGGGGAGTGGGAGAGGATGAAACCATTCCACCTCAGATCATCAGGCATTAGTTAGATTCTCACAAGGAGCACGCAACCTAGACCCCTCACATGCGCAGTTCACAGTAGGGTTTGTGCTCCTATGACAATCTAATGCCCCCGCTGATCTGACAGGAGGTAGAGCTCAGGCGGTAATACTTGCTCTCTGGCAGCAGCCCACCTCCTGCTGTGTGGCCGAGTTCCTAAGAGGCCATGGACAGGTCCCAGTCCCTGGCTCAAGGGCTGGAGACCCCTGCTCTTGTTGACGATTGAATGTGAGTGCTGGAGTTGGGGAAGAAGAGAGAAGAGACAGCAATGACGTAGAAAGGCAAATCCAAGCTACCTGGAATTGCGCTACCACTTTTGAAGGAAGGAAACACATTAGTAAGAGCAGGAGATTTTTTGTTTTTGTTTTTTAGAAAAAGATATTGAGAAAATGTAAGAAATGAAGCTGAAGGTTAAGAAAATATTAAATTAATATAGCTAAAGAGATTTAGTTTCTTTCACTCTCCACTAAAATGAAAATTTAAAAATGAATAACATAACTGAAGATACCATACCACAAAATAGGGGACAAAATCATGTCAGAATTTAAAAGAAAGAAATGAATTTAAAAGAAAGAATGTCTTTTTAGGTCATAAAATGTGAGGTGATATCAGGGGGATGATGTGAAAACTACAGAAATGAAACAGGAATAACCAGGATCAATGAAGATGAAGTAAGAGAGTAAGAGTTACAGTTATATGAGGAAGTATCAATGAATCACCCATGTGATCAAATCACACTGTTGCCTTTCTCAGAAAACCCCAAAACATTTTCCAAGACTTTCAGAAGTTATAAACCTTCAATGTAAAAAATTCTGCCTTAATCAATGCATTTATTTTTTCTAAAATTAATTATATATTTTTATTGATGCATAATTGTTGTACATATTTGAGGAATACATTTGATAATTTAATACATCTGTATAATTTGCAGAGATCAAGTCTGTGTAATTGGGGTATCCAACACCTTAAATATTTGTCTTTTAATTATGCTAAAAAAATCAAATTATTCTCTTCTAACTATAATCAATAGACTTCTTTTTCTCCTTTCTCTTTTTCTTCCTTCCTTTCATCCTTTTCTCCTTTGTTTCTTTTTTCTTTCTTTCTTTTCTTCCTGCCTCCAGTACCAGTTCTCTAAGATAATGGAAAAAATGTTCTAAGAACTACAAGATGTTGCTTTTCAATGTCTAGATTCCCCTTCTGTGTTATTTCATCCTTCCATAACCTGTTTTGAGCCTGCTTTGGATAGCTGGTGGTAAAGGTTTCTCATTATTTATTATTTTCCCTTAGTTGCTGTGAGGGTTTCGTCTCATTGGATGGCCTGTGGCTTTGGCGTCTAACTTTCCTTAAGAGTTGAGCCCATTCCCACTGGCCACCAAAGCCATATTAATGACAAAAATCTCATAGGTGTAATAATCATTCTTCTGTTAAGACTTAAATGCATTTGGGGATTTAAGTATCAATCTCACGTAGTTTCAATTTACAAGGCTCTCAAAATTTGTTAGAGTTTTGGTTTCAGTTATGCGTACTCCAAACAGTGTTTTATACAACAGTGCTAGTATTAATTGTATCTTTAAAGATGAATTGTGAGACTATTATTAGTGTAGAGTCACTGAAAGTAAAAGGTGCTGTGGAGATAATATTAATAAGGTTTTAAGTATTCCTCTTGGGATGAAGAACTTTATTTTGTCAAATAAGGTAAATACACAAACTGCTAGGCTTTATTCGGATTCTCCATGCTTGTGAATTTTAGATCCACTAAAGACATAGCAATTTGTTCACTAGCATAGATAACTAAAGAAAATACAGGTATAAACTTACTTTAACATTTGAAAATCTGCATTAGAATTTCATGGTATGCTGAATCATAATAACAATATCCTTATTTTATATTTATAATGTTTATTCTTAATTTTCACTGAATTACTAAAAACAAAAATCTGGCTTTCATATCTGTCTAGAGAAAGTCTATTACTTCCATTCCATATTAGAAATATGTTTAAATTTTATACTTCACTCTGTTGAAAATTCAGTAAGGCAAAGGGGAATTTAAATAAAAATAAACCATCCTCTCATATGGAAATAAAGTAGAGTTTTGTTTTTCATCTTTTCCTGTTCTCAGTGTCAGCCTTAACCAGGTGCAACTAGGGCTCAACTCCCTCCCTGCCGTGACCCCAACCTTCTGCCCCCATCTCTTAGTACCTAAGATTGGCTTTGTCTGTTCTTAACATTAAAATAGCACCTTAATATTATTAGACAGATTTATTTAATAAAAACCACATTATTTCTAAATGGCATTCACCCTCTCAGAAGTTTAAATATCTGCCAGAAATTTACCCCAGCACTGACCTTGCTTTCTTTAGTAGAGTACAAGCCTTCAATAAAACACTGACAATCAACAGCAAAAAGCCACTTGTCTCACCTGAATATATAATAACAAGAATAAGTTTCCTGGTACTGCTCTATATGGATGTATTTATATAAGCACATAGCCTTTTGGGGGGTGTTGGTTAGTTCAAAAACACATATTCCAAATACTCCTTACATTCAAATTCAGCAAGTTATGGTTTGTTTTGATCTTTCAAAGTGTGCTTGAAGGTTTGAATGCATCTGTGGGCTTACTTTACGTAATATATGCAGTTAAATTTTAATACAAACTGACTTTTCCCTTCTACATAGCCACTCTCCAACTGCTGTCAGTCAGCAGGAACTCAGGATATACAGACTCATGTTAACCTCTAGAAGAATGCGATTTCTAGCCCATTCAGTTGGCCACAGAAATGCCCAGATTGTATTTCGAACTAAAATAAAAGCTGCTTTGGAGGTAATTCTCTATTCCCACCTTTACTACTTGCTAGTACAAGTAATTAATTTAGAAGAGAAACATATATTCAACTTTATATTTGTAATCAAAATGTGAATATTCCAAAAAAATGCATGCATGCTTGTATTCCAAAGAAATATGGAAATGGGTGGGGAGACACAAATACTCTCAAATAAATTGTAGGAAAGTAAGAGGTGATTTTTTTTTTTTTTTTTTTTTTTTTTTTTTTTTTTTTTTTTGAGACGGAGTCTCGCTCTGTCTCCCAGGCTGGAGTGCAGTGGCGCGATCTCGGCTCACTGCAAGCTCCGCCTCCCGGGTTCACGCCATTCTCCTGCCTCAGCCTCCCGAGTAGCTGGGACTACAGGCGCCCGCCACCACGCCCGGCTAATTTTTTGTATTTTTAGTAGAGACGGGATTTCACCGTGTTAGCCAGGATGGTCTCGATCTCTTGACCTCGTGATCCACCTGCCTCGGCCTCCCAAAGTGCTGGGATTACAGGCGTGAGCCACCGCGCCCGGCAGTAAGAGGTGATTTTAACTTGTCCTCCAGTGAATGGATGACATAATATCTGAGTTTCCTCTTAAGCATATGTTTAGTTCATAAACTTAGTCTATTACATTCAATGGTAAAGTGGCTTAATTTTTGCATTCTTGTCCACTTGCTGGAGGTCTACCAACCTTACAGGATTCAGCACAAAAAAACATTTCTACTTTGAAAGTTTTGCTAACTCCACCAAGCTCATGTAGGCTTTCCTCTGTGGTTCTTTATGTTTTCCAAGAAGGGTTTCCCAAATATCAATACTTAATTTTGTGAGCCTGCACAACACCCAGTATGTATCTTTGAAATATTGAACACACGAAATAGAACTGTTTGCTAAGTATTTTAAAATGCAAATAGCCACTCACTAAAGTTCCATTCTGTGCCACCTCTCTGTGAAACTTTCCCTGGCATCCGAACAAAACAACATCTTTCTTTTCTGAGTTCTTTGTTACATGTTCAACTCATTTGTTGTTCCCACTGTTCTGTATGGCTGTTCTCTACACACTCATATTTTCTACTCAACAAGAAGAAAAAATTTCTGAAAGTCTGGAAGAGTCTAACACAGCCCGGAGCCTAGCACATTGCTTGGGGTAATGGTTCAGGGCACTGAGTAGAGATTTGACCCAAGATGTCCTGAGTAAATTCTAGCTATCCTGATTTGATACTAGATGGCTTTAATTTTTTTTAACTTAATTCTGGTGTCAGCCTTCATCCTGGGGAAAATCATTATTTCCAACTCACATCTTCTTTAAAAAAAATTTATACTGTTTCTACTGTGTTCATTTAATAGGTACTTCTGATGTAAACTCTAAGGATGTTAAACTTTAAAACAGAATAACAGGGAAATATAGGTTGTGGTTTATTTTGGAGGAATTGCTATTAGCCTGACTACAAGGCTAATCTTCAAACATGACTCTGGAGAAAAGGTTAGCAGCCTGAACTCAAACAGGAATGGTTGTTAATAGATGAATGCAATGATGAGGGCTCTCAGGGGTGGGTCAGCTCCGTGACTTTTGACCACCTCAAAAACACAAGCTGTGAAAACACAAGCATTCCTTCATTTTACTTATCATTTGGATCCTCAGCTCTGATTCACTTTTTTCAAAACTTATTTTGGAGCCAACGGGGATTGGTAAGTGAAAGGCTACCTGGGGCTGATTGTCATCAGCAGCAGGGCCCCGCGTGGAGGAGAATTACGGCTCTTGTTCACAAGGGTATGTTTATAATACATCTAAACTTACCTGGCAAAGGGTCTTTGAGGAGACTGTGGAGCAAGGGTGGAAACAGATAAGAACATGACTTGAAAAAGACACTTTGGTGGTTTAGAAAGTTCTTTGGGGGAATATTCTCCCTCTCTATTCAGACTTTTCCATTCTTTATCAACTCAGTTTTATTTAGTATCTGTGTATGAAGTTAAAAACGTGCTTTCTATTTTTTTTCCTATTCAAATAGCTGTGTGCAAGGCCTAGATGGTTCTTAGCACCCATCAGTTCATGTACTTTGCAGGTAACACTCATTTAGTCTCATAAGAATGACTTACCTCAGACCTTGGACTTAATTTGGGACAGAAATGAGACTGTATTGTGGGCTTAGGGACACCTGAGATACTGTTTCTCAACTACTAACTGTGTGATCTTCGGAAAAACTCTTACCTTCTCTGAGCTGGAGTGGCAGGTGGTACTGGGAGATGACTGGGAGAGATGGGTGTGACAAGTATTAAAATCCAGGTGTCACACATTACATTTCACAACTACTTTTAGAATAGTCCCATCAAAGCATATCTTCACAATAGACAAATTTTCGATCCTCACGATGCAAACACTTACAAATGATTGTGTAGGAAAATCCTGTGGTTTTACTTAACAAAAGTGAAGATTACATATTATTCAACGCATTATCACAAAGCTCTTTCTATTTGAAGGGGCCAAAGTCTAGATATAACTTGTAACCCCACTGAATTCTATCCCTGAGAACAAAGGGTAATTTCTGCTCAGCAATCCTCAGTGGGTATGTAAATGAATGCTGCTGAAATATTCAAAAGCTGATACCAATACAAAGTGAAGTGCAATAATCTAAATGTGTCATTGCTTTCTCCTGCTCCTAATTACTAGCTTTAGGCTTTTTTTTTTTAACCAATATTTTGTCTCCTTGCTTTTCCTGTACAGATTGAATGAACACCCAACTATATAGGATTACTAGTTTCTCACAGCAGCTTTCAAGCATTGTCTTCGTTTTTCTTTTGGTTCCGTCATTGCTCTGGCTGTGACCGGTTAGCAGAGTTGGTTGATGTGCAAAATGTTCAAAGTCACAACTTACATGGGCTAAATTACTCTTTGTTCCATGGTTATAGAAATCACTGTAACGACAAGGAAAAATTCACTGGTTACAAGGAAAATCAAAACTAGTGCACTTCAGAAGGGATGTTCACTCAAAGGTTAAAAAGTAATGCCACTTTTGCATGTAGAGAAGTTCACTGGTAATATAATACCATCCTTTTAAATAAAACTCTTAATGTAAAGTGTGGAACTGTGTTTGGTTTATACTTTCTCTCTAAGCCCCTTGACGAAGTGACGCCTTTCTTAAGGATGGAGTCCCAAGAGAACCTCTTCTGTGAATCTCAGAGGCCGCTCTTCCATTCATCACATGACATACTCAGCACTTTGCTCCTCAAATTTTCTAATGTCCACCAGCCATGGCCAGACTCTCTCATCTAGCAGCCCAACTGCTGCTGATTTGCTATAAAAAAAAAAAAAAAAAAAAAAAAAAATTGGAGAACCTAAAATGAAACTGAATTATCTCAAGATTTCACTGCAATGAAACTTATGGGTGTTTTCTCTTGTATGAGATAATTCTTTCCATTGTTAATTACAGCCACTCTGCTTCCATCCCTGATTCCTCAGAGGGACTCAGATTTATTGATTAAATTGAGGGGCTAATGCAAAGGATATTTACAATGCTTGCTCAGAAATAGCTTATCCTTTTGGACACAGAAACCTTGTGTCTGACAAAAGCTTGCTTGCAGGCTTTTCCTTTTCATCAGAACAAGTTCTCCCCTTAAGAAACTCTTTAGGGCTTCTTGAAAATTGGTCCCAGATAGACACACTCCTCTAACACTAACTTAATAGGCATAAATCCAGGGGTTGATTTAGCTTATGCTTGAGCCATACTTGGAGCCACCAATTATTAACCTTAGGAATCATAGATTAATTTTATGTTACTTATTCTTATAGAGTTTTCAATGCTATATTTATATCAAATTAATCATTTTCAAATTATTTCTACTACACAAACATGATAATAGTAGATATGGTTATGGATATAGATGAAATATCCAGAGCTGCCACCCCAACTTATCCTTTCTCTCATAACCACATTTCCCTTCACTTCAAGGAAAATAACTTAAAAACTGGACTAAATCATTCTACTCATATAGTCACATTCTCTAAATTATGTATCTGTGTTAGAATTCAAAAGGAGAATTAAAAAGTAAAGGAAATTTGGAAAGCACCTAAATATTATCATTAATGTATAGTTTTTATTATTAATGAAACAATATAGAATAGAATAATAGAATTTTTACTAACATTATTAATAAATATTGTGCCTCAAACACTTACTATGTTTGGAACTGTGCTAATAAGCATTTCACATATTTTCCCCATTTAATCCTGACAATAATTCACAATAAATAGATGATTAGCCTCACTTTATAGGAGAGGAAAGTGAGTCTTAGCACGGTTAAATAATGAAGTCAAAGTTAACCAACTAGCAAATAAGAAATCTGGAACTTGGATGAAAGTCCATCCAACTCCATAAATTTTTAATGTATTCTCCTTTATCATTTTCATTCCTTCCTTTCTTCCTTTATTTCTTCAAATATGTTTATTAAATATATCTTATTTAGGAGGATTTTGAGTTAATGTCATAAAGTGTACCAGAAAATATGAGATAGATTTTGTCTTTAAAGAACTTACAGTTACTTAGAGGACACATATTCTTTGTTTCCTTCTTATCGCCCAGGTTGGAGTGCAGTGGCACAATCTTGGCTCACTGCAACCTCCACCTCTGTAGCTCAAGTGATCCTCATGCCTCAGCCTCCCAAGTAGCTGGGACTGCAGGTGTGTGCAACCACACCTGGCTAATTTTTATATTTTTAGTAGAGTCAGGGTTTTGCCATGTTGGCCAGGCTGGTCCCAAACTCCTGGCCTCAAGTAATCTGCCCACCTCCGCCTCCCAAACTGCTGGGATTACAGGTGTGAGCCACTGCACCTGACCCAGCATATAGTCTTTAGATGACTATGTTTAAAGGAATACATTGCCAGAGTACATAAGAAATATATCCAAATTAATTGTATAATTATTCTGAGTTATATAACAATTTTTTAAAAAAAAATTCCACTGTCCAAATACTAAGATCTTAGGAAAGATCTGAAATGGCTGGCAAAGACCCTAAAAGAAGACCAGAAACAGTATTATTCTGAGCATAGGTGCAGAGTAAGGTAAGATTAGTCAGGAATTAAATGATGCATCCTTTGAATAGCTGGATAAGTGGGCAATATTTTATGAAGAAGTCTAAGTTTTTGACAAAGAGAATTCAGTATTTTACATCTCTCAACAAAATATGGAATAATTCAAACTATGTATGACTATTCTCTCATTGAGAAGACATTCGTGAGAATGATTTAGGAGACAGGACAGTGTCAGAGAAAAGATAAACTGCGGAGTCAGAATAACCTGTGTTTGAAATCTGGCTTAGCCATATTCTAAACAAAATGCTTAAATTATCTGAAACTGTTTGCCCATCAGTAAACAAGAAATAATAAAAGTGGCATCCACCTTATAGAAATGTTATACAATATTTGACATTATGTATGAAACACTTTACGTGAGGAAGGTACTCAATACATGGTATAGCTTTTAGCATAGCTTAATCTTATGTCCTTCCTTCATTAGGAATATCAGTATTTTTAGGCAGATGTCCTTGTCTTTTCTCCCTCCGATAGGTGAATTTCTGCTAAAACTACCTACTTCATTAAATGAAGATTTTTTGTTAACAATGAAAATGAAATAGAATTCAATTCAGGGTACATGATGTATTATTCCCTTTGATAGACTATTCAAACTTAAACTCAGTTTCAAAACACCTGATTATCATATTCAGGAAACAGATTTTGTTTACCTTTCTGTCTCTTTTCCATTAAAAAAATTTAAAGCCACATTTAGTGGAGTATAATTTAACATAAAATAAAAGTTTCTTTTTTATAGTGTATAGTTCCATGAATCTTTACAAACACATATTGTCATGTAACAAATACCAAAAGCAAAATATAGATCAGTTTCATCATCCCTCCAATTTTCTCTTTTCTATTTGTAATCAACTCCTTACCACACCCATAGCCCTTGGCAATTACTAATGTTTTTGTTATAATTTTGCTAATGTTTTTGCTATAGTTTTGCTTTTTCAGAATGTCATAGCAAGGAATCATCATCTATTACATATAAACATTATAATTTGGTTTCTTTCTCCAAGTACAATGATAACATTCATCCAAGCCATTTCATGTATCAGTAATTCTTTATTATTTCTTTTTTGATGTTTCAATGTATGGATATATGACAATTTGCCTAATTGACAGTTATTTTGTTTTTTTTTTCCAGTCTGAAGCATTTATGAATAAAGGCACTATAAACTTTTACTTACAAGTGTTTATGTAAACACACATTTTCATTTATCTTGGTAAATACATAGGACTAGACTTGCCAGATTGTATTATAAAGATAGGTTTAACTTTATTCGCAGAACTGCTTTCCAATGTGGCTGTACAATTTTGCATTTCCACCAGCAATACATGAGAATTTCAGTTCCACGTTCTCAACAACACTTTTTAAAAATAGCCATTCTGATAGATGTGTAATGGTATCTCATAATGGTTTTAATTTGCATTTTACAAGGACACCCAATGAAAGTCAGATTGGTTGGTGCCCCCTCCTCCACTCTTGTGAAATATTTTCAATGTCACACATGTATACCTTCCCACAATTTAAGGTAATGGGAAATATATTAAGACAATGTAAAACTTTCTTAAACATTACCCCACTACAGTACTCAACTACTCATTTGCACCTCGATATTTGTGTGCATAACTTTTAATAGAAAAATTTACCATTATTTCCACACTGATTTTTTTCCTTCTGGGAACATCATGTTTTCCCAACTAGACTTGAATCTTTAAAAAGACAGTAAATACATGATACCTATCTTAAACTTCTGCTATCTAAGAGCCGTATTCCACAAATGCTTGTGGAGTAAATTGAGAGCATTTAAGTCATAACTTTGTTCTGCCCTTCTCCAAGCTAAATATCACCAGCTACCGAGGGTCAAAACTGAACAGAAAAGATGACAGAGAAGGAAGTGTTAAGGGCATGAAATCATTTGAGAGTCTAAATGTGGATTGGATTGAACGCTAAAGAAAATTGAAGAGAAAATGCAAAGTAAAGTATATAAAGTAAATAAAATGGAACAGGCAAAAGGAAGGAACATTAGGAAAAAATAAGCAAAGGGGATATTGAAAAATACCTGTACAAGAAAAAGAATTCATCATATAAGAAGGTGGGACCAAAAACCAGAAATATATGCCAAAAATAATTGTACATGAATATATTTATTTTTATTGATGATATTTAATTCTCAAAGTCTGTAAGTTAAATAAGTTAAAGTTAAATCAGCCCTCTGGACTGAGTAATGTATTATTTGGTATATTTGGGAGATAATGTTTGAACAAATCTTTTTCTTTTCTATTAGCTTATCTCCTGAACTTTTATTAAAATGGAAAACATTTACATAAACTCCAAATAGTCAACACACTACCATGTAAATAAGACTAGGGAGAAAGTGGGGAAGACCTGTTCTCCTGCTAAATATAATCTTCTCTTGGTAACTGCACCTCTTACTATGGTTTTAAATATGACTAAGCACCAGGATAACCCATCCACTTCTCTGAACTTTGTGTATTCACCTCCCACTTAATATCTCTCTTTAGATATTTGATAGCATGAAAGATTTTGTCGTGCTCAAAACAGAATTATTTATACGTTCTCCAAATTTTTTCTAATTCCAGTTTCCTCCAACCCAGTCAATAACAATTCACCTTTTCCATTTACCAAAATCTGAGTATCATTATTCACAACTTTTTCTTACATTTTATTCCAATCCATCAGCAGATGCAATTAGCTGCACCTTCAAAATACACTTGGAATCCTATCATAGTCAAAGCCAACATCGTCTCTCATCTGAATTATTGCAATGACCTTCTAACTGGTCTCCCTTCTCCCCTTCTTGTTCCCTGCAATGTGTTGTTTACACACTAGCAAGAAGAATTCTTTTAAAAGGTAAAGCAGATGATGTCATATTAGAATTTCCAAAAACTTCTAGTAACCTTCAGCTCCATTCATCCTGTAAGGCCCAAAATGATCGTGGCCCTGCAACCTCTCTGGGAGTATCTCTTACCAGTCTCTTCCTGACTCATTCTACTCTAGCCACATTGGCCTTCTGACTCTCTCCAAAGTATGTACGTTCTCTTCTTTGGGCCCTGGGACATTTTCCTCACCCTTTTTGAAATTTCTTCCTCCAGATATATGCATGCTTCTGTCTATACATCCTTTTAACCTCTGCTCAAAGGACACCTTCCTTCTCAGAGAGACATTTTCTGACCATTCTGTAGAAATAGCATCCTCCTCCTGTTTTTATCCATTCAAATTATTATGCTTTACTTTCCTTTAGAGCACTTGCTACCACCTAACATTTCATATATCTGTTTATTTTACCATCATCTCAATCTCTCCCACTAGAGCATGAGATTCAGGTGGCATTTAGACTAGTTTGTTCACTATTAAATTCCCAGTACCTGAAAGAATAGGTGGCTCATAGAATGTACTAATACATACTTGTTGAATGAATGAATGATTTAGAAGCCTGGAGCAGAGAAAAATTATATACACTTTATGTGCCAAAGTTACATAAAGTGGTAGAGTGGGCATAAGAACCCAACATTCTGATTCTGGAGTAGTGCTTTGAATCACTCTTCTCTACTGAACCCAAGAGAGCTAGTGTAAGGATTAAAAGATGTAACCTAGGTCAATTTTCCATCCTCACACTTTATGTGCAGTAATTACTGAGTAAATGACAATTATCTATTTATTCCCAGGACATCCTCAACTTTAGTCCCCCAGTGGTTGGGAATAGAAGATAAAATATGTTAACAGTCATTGTTTTTTTGTTGTTGTTGTTTTTTGTTTTGTTTTGAGACGGAGTCTCACTCTGTCGCCCAGGCTGGAGTGAAGTGGCAAGATCTCAGCTCACTGCAAGCTCCACCTCCCGGGTTCACTCCATTCCTCTGCCTCAGCCTCAGTCATTGATTTTTAAATATCCAACTTGAAATCTAGTTTGTATTTACCACAAAAGGGAATAAGTGATGTGACTGTCCCAAATTTTAAGTAAAATGGCTTTTTCCAGTTGTTTCCTATAAAATACATATAGCGTCCTGACTATCTAGAATCTTTGGTCAATTTGACCTCACTTATAAAATTCTGAATTAAAAAAGAGGGCAAAGTGTAAGGAAGTAGGGATAGAATGTACCAAGACTGTGTATAAATGCACTATCTCATATATATAAATATTCTATGTATTCCTTAGAAAGATAGAATGCAGGTAAAAACTATTAAGTATGGGTTGTTTATTTGTTTGAACAAGCAAACTTAAGACCCTCATGGCCTGACCTGAAGGTTAAACACAACTAGACCCAGGGTGATGTTGTCTTAACCTCTGCCCCTTCCCCCAGTGTTCCACTATTATTCTCTTCCACACTTTTGAGTCTTTCATGGGGTCCAGTCAAGGTCAGCTGCAGATGGACATCTGGCACTTGGTAGAAATAGTAACAATATGTAGATTGTAATAAGCAAGGCATTTTTTGAAGTACAATTAAACTTACTGTACACAAATACTTGATCTACAACCAGCAAAACCCCAGATTCAAGCACCAGTTCTCTAAAGTGTTTGCAGAAACCCTAAGTGTGGTAGAGGTAATCCATTAGGTAGACAAGAGGAAAAGATAATAACTTATATTTTTTTATTATTGTGTAATAAACTAAGAAGGAAATGAAACTTCAATGACAATCTGCATATTTACAGTAATTTTATATATAATTTAGAAATAAAACATATTGAGATGCAAAGTAAAATTATTTTACTGATAGCATTCCATAATAAGAACATATTAGATTATATTATTAATTTTATTTTTCAGAATAACAACTTACCCCAAACTTAATGGTTTAAAGTAACACATAGTTTTATCACACAGTTCCATGAGTCATGAGTCCTGGCATGGATTACCTGTGTCCTCACCTGGAAGCTCACCTGGAAAAGAACGTGCTTCCAAGTTTACTTGAGGTTGTTGAAAGAGTTTATTTCCTTGTAGCTATAGGACTGATGACCTCAGGCCCCAGAAAACTTCCTGCCTGGTGGCCCTCTCCATAAGTAGTATATAACATGGCTGTTTGCTTCTTCACAGCCAAAAAGAGAATCTCTCTGCCTCCAGTCTGTTAAGGCAAAGTATTACATAACAAAACAAAATCACAGAAATTGACATCTTATCACCTTTGCCATATTCTATGGTTTAGAAGCAAGTGATAGGTTTCACCTGCACTCAAGGAGGGGGCATTATTCAAGGCTCCTTGTGGGTCATCTTAGAGTATGTCTTCCATAGAGACCATTCTTCAAAAGAATATCTAAAGGCCGTCTTTCTAGCTTCAAAACTCAAAGATTAATTTTATTTTTTTAAAGAGACCTAGCTAAAACATGCCTTTCTTCCTAGAAAATTTATTAAATCAATGCAGCTCAACTCTGATCACTTCCTACATTGGATTTCTTCAACATTTATGTTCTAAGTTCAGGATGTATTACGTTGTACTTGTCAACTGATGCTAACAAGTGTGTTTATTTTGTGTTCTTCCCATGTACATATACTTCAAGGACATAAATTTAGATTTATCTCATAAATAATAATACCGCTATATTAAGATTGTCAGAGATGGTAACCTTCTTCATCCGCCCTTCCTGTGTTCACTAGCTCACTCCTAGTGTGAAAAGAGAAACTCCACATCTTGCAGAAAGCAAAATGAAGACTGAGGGGCAATGCAATGTGGTTGGAACACATAGCAGTAGTCACTGACGCAGTAGGTATTAGACCTCAACATTTTCAATTCTTTATCCTTTGTTCATTTTATCAAGTCATACTGTTTCCAATTAGCTAGGAGTAATCTTTAAAGACAGAAATGATCTTCAAAAAAAAATGAAAGCCTTGGGAATTCAATCAGCACTAAAATCTTCCTTCCAATGTTCTGTCTGGATGAATAATTCCATCCGAAGAGGTGTGGCTCTTTTATTTTTAAATTTTAAAGGGAGGGGATTAGATTAGTTACTTTATTAAAACTGTGCATTTAAGAGTCTAGCTCTTCTGGGCCAGAATTCTCAAAAGGGAATGGGAAATCAGGCTCAGTTTACAAGTCAGTTCTGTGTAGTTGCTCAAGACTCAGAAACAACTATTTTTAGATGATTAATTATTTGTCTCAATCTAGTCTTAACAAGGTGAAATAAAATGTTTAGGTCATATATTCACAATTGAATCACTAATTCAATAGAGCCCACATTTTTGCACAATGAAAGCAAATTAATTAATTATATTCCATCAATTTTTTGGCTTTTTGGAAAAAAAAAACTGATGAAAAAAATAATAGATTTTATGCCACAGATAATAATGGCTTGTAACATGTTAAGAGAAAAAAAATGCAAGAGTAATTTATTGAATACGATTCCTTTCCATGGACTAAAATAGATTATTACAAATGCTAGGAAATGCATTTTTTTTTTTCAGTCTTGCTCTGTTGCCCAGGCTGGAGTGCAGTGGCGTGATCTCGGCTTACTGCTACCTCCACCTCCCTGGTTCAAGGGATTCTCGTGCCTCAGCCTCCTGAGTAGCTGGGATTATAGACATGCACCACCACACCCAGCTAATTTTTCTGTTTTTAGTGGAGACAGGGTTTCATGATGTTGCTGAGGCTGGTCTCAAATTCCTGGCCTCAAGTGATCTGCCTGCTTCAGCCTCCCAAAGTGCTGGGATTACAGGCGTGAGCCACTACACCCGGTCTAGGAAAATGCATTTCTAAGATTTCAGTAGAATGTCCTCTTTACCAAGAAAAATGGTAACAATTCTATCATCGCTTCTATAAGAGATTCTCCTAGGTCCTCACTCACTGAACTCTGATATCCACAAACTTCTGCTTCTTGTTCATCAGGTGGCTTCTTTCCACAGCATGCAAGCAGCATGCTACAACAGAGGCTATGGGAACACTGGGATGGTAGGAGTATTAGTATGTCTGCTCACTGATGAAACCGTGATTCTTCACATCCTTCATTTTGTGTAAATTACAGCAATACAAGATAACAGCAATACCTGCTTTTGTTACAGGCAAATCTCTAACCTGCTGTTGCCACGTTTGGGTCTCTTTTAAACCTTTTCATCATTTAAATTAAAATACAGCAAGGAATTAAAAGGGAAGTTTGCCATTTCTCATTCGATCAGATATCTAAGAACAAAGTGAATTTCTTCAATATTGTGAGGTTCACATGGTGAACACTAAGAGATCTTTTCAGAAAGTGTTGGTTAAGTCCTTTGTCATATTATGAGTACATTTTAAAATAATATAAATGATCTTTAATCATGATTTAACATAATTTTTAATAAATTCAAATGTATATTTGTTCCTCATTGAAATTATTGTCTGAATTTTGTAAATGAAATCAGTATTTTTCTAATTGGTTCTCTGCTGATTTTTAAAAATCATCAACCCTATGATACATTTTGGGAGTTTAGTGTAGGGAGTACACACACACATTGCATTCTGTCATTTTTTAAGTCCCCTCTAATGAATTCTTAATTACATTATTCAAAAGATCCATTATTCAGCATTCATCTCACTGCTAAATGAAAGTCTTTACCTGACATGTGAATGAAATGAGTCTAAATGCTTTCCATGCCACCTAGGGATTCTGAATAGACTTTTAGCTTAACAGCAGCAATAGGCTTCATTTCTGCTTTAAATTTGTGTGGATTGTTTTTAGAGATAGGTTAGCTATGCAATAGTCTACCAATCTGAGCAGCACTTAAATTCCATTTTGTTCTCAGACTTACCTTGGGCCAGAAAAACTGCAAACAAGATCAGATGATCGCTGAAGGTAGAAGAAATGCCATACACATACAAGATTTGATAACCTGTAAAAGCTTTCAGATACAAGTGTGCATCACCCACAACACTAACTTCAGATGAGGAGAGCAAACTTCCTAAGAGCTGCTTGTACATTTTCTCATTTCTCATTGTGAAGAAAAAAGTGGAAGTAGCCAGAGAAACTCAGAGACCTTCAACTGGTAATAAGATTTTTTCTTAATCACACTTCCATTGCTTTCAACAGACTAATGCATAATACTGGTAGTAACAAATTGTCTCAGGCTTTATGTGTCTTCTGTAGCCATGCCTAAAAATGAGCCATAGTTACTACACTATTTATCAAGCAGCCCTCATATCTCCAAATGATGCCCCCAGAAGATATCTAACAAGAGCATAAGCTGATGTAATAGTAATATATGATAGTCTGTGTTCCAGAACTCTAACTAGTTATACAGAATATAAGCAAAGCTGCTAGAGATATAGATTTAGTGAAAGCAAAGTTCATCTTCTAAATAACATAAAGCAACAAACTCAGAATCTTTGCCCTGCCTTCCCCTAGTTTCAGGAGAGGAAATTATCAAAAGCATCTAACAAGATGGGCTTACTTTAAATTTTGTTTTTGTTTTGGCTTGGCTTGCTTTGGTTTGGTTTTCTAGAGTGTATGAATCACTAACTTGCTCTGTTAGGCTTGGGGGTGTGTCTATGTGCAACAAGTGACCAAGTGTAGCCCTGTGTCACACATTCAGCTATGCATAGCTAAATGACTAAATTACTTCATGTAATTGCATCTGATGTTAACAAAACCATTGAAGAAACCTTTTGGATCTCCAAGTCCATCTCAAAATATCATTTTTAGAGACAGCATAAGTGTATTATCTTGTTTAGTTCATGATTCAGTGCTCTTTCTTTACAGGAAGTAGGAAATATCTTTAGGCAAAAAAAAATTATATTTCTCTTCCACTATTGTTTTTATAACTGCCATTGTACCTAAAATTGGAGAAGAAATTTTTCTGCAACTGCTGCACAGAGTGAAGAAAGTAACAGGGAAAAAGCTTACCATAAAATTACTCCAAACACAGTAAGTTTGTTGTATCTTCAGGAGAAAAAATGCATTTTAGTGTTGCCATATTAAGTGAATATCTTGAAAATCAATGATATATACACACATTTTAAGTCAATGCCTTTGGATTTTTAAAGAATACAGAAAAAAATGGCAGTCCATAATGCAGTAACAATAGAGATGTGTCATAGAACTCGAATGTCATTAATTCAGTAGAAGTCATGAATAGGTGGAGATTTACCCTTTTCCCATTTTTGGTAAATTTAAGATTATTACATCAATGGAAGGTCCAATCTTAAAATATATGTCTGATCAGCCAGAGGTGAAGCTTAAGGTGTGGCTTTGGAGTTGCTCTGACTCCCATCCCTGCTGTATTGGAAAGAGGAATGAAAAGATCAAACTTAGAATCAGTCCTATGATTTGTAGTTCTTTCTAGAAGATAATGCCCACTGTAATATACTTAGGGATTGGTTAATGAAATACGTGGCATTTTCTGATAGGAATGCAATACTTCCTAGCTGCAAACAGATAAATAAATAAGCAAATAAATAAATAAATAAATCCAATATTTAAAATGCATATGAGATATCACAGAAAAACTCATGTTAATCCACTCCTGTAATAGGCAATGTATGTGAGTGCAGCTCATGGGGACTTCAGTTTCCTCACTGCAAGGAATGGGGCATCCCCTGCTGAAGATTTTCCCCCCTGAACTCTAGCCTCAGGGTTCAAAGCCCTCAAAGCTAAAGGCTAACTCCACAAGTATAACAGAAGACTTCTTGGTGTAAGTCAAACTAGAAAATTTGAAAAGTATTCTTTTTTTTTTGTTGTGTCTCTGCCAGATTTTGGTATCAGGATGATGCTGGCCTCATAGAATGAGTTAGGGAGGAGTCCCTCCCCTTCAATTTTTTTGAATAGTTTCAGTAGGAATGGTACCAGCTCTTCTTTGTACCTCTGGTAGAATTCAGCTGTGAATCTCTCTGGTCCTGAGCTTTTCAAATGAGTCTAATCATAACAAACACATTTACTAAGGATGAAACCAGTGCAAAACTTACCAGAGCATCTGGGTACCCTTGGTTCCTGAGCCAAGGAAATAAAGATCAGCACAAATTCTATTTCTAAGATGGTGCTGCATGTGTTGGAAAAAAGTACTGTGGTAAAAAATATGATTCTATGTTTATCAGAGCCTCCTTCATTTTACAGAAGAAAACAGATCAGTCTTCTCTCCCAGGGAAGGCTTGTCCCCACAGCCTGGCTAGACTGTTTTATGTCTTGCTACCCCTATTCCAACACAGGTGGAAAGTAGACCTTAAAATAAAAGAAGCGGACAAAGAACTTGCTAAGCTTCCACATACAACATATGCACATTTGTAGAAAATAAAAGGTATGTTTAGGGGGAAAACTGGGGCTGTTTAAGTTAAGAGTGCTGAGGGAATGAGTAACCCATTGCTTGATGTCTGGCCATTTAAAAGGCTCTGCACAATTCGTTTTTCATCTGTAGTGCAACAATCCATATTTGTCTCTGATGCTGCCAGGGAAAATATACTAGTGCAGCCTAAGAATACTATTTAAAAGTGAAAGAAACAACCACTATTTAATTATCTTGTTTTTTCTTACAGTTATAAAGGCTGATGTTACTTAAAATCTCAAAAGCTCTTTCCCTGCTTTCCCTCAGAACCATTGTAAACATCAACTATTGTTTACAAGATGTAACCTATTACTTTGAAATATCATTTTATTATTTTTAAATGAGGTAATTTGCAATTCCCTGTACCATCATAGGTGTCTCGTTCTGAGCCTCCTTGAAAAGGAAATTTATAAAATAATAACACAGTGTGTTTTTTGTGTGACAATACAATTTATTTTTAACAAATCGATGCTGCACTTTAACCTTCTGATTGTTTACCTTTTATGTATCTATTAGACACAGAAACTGCATTATAGAGTATTTTAGCTCTCTACTGATAAACAGGAAGAAAGAAATGAAACTCCTTATAAAGGGCATTCATTCAGAAGTATAATTAATATTCTCTTCCCTTGTTAAAAATAATAGCTGTTTTCTGTTTGTTCCTTTTCATTTCAATTAAACTATCCTTAGTGTTTCATATAGAGGAAGGTTTCCTTTTGTTCATTTTTTTTTTCTTTTTGCCACTAGAAAGCAACATTTGAACTTCCTCCTAATCTAGTAGTATTGGCTATAACATGCTTGGGTACAGCAACTAATATCAAAGCCCACTTTCTATATTTTTGGCAATTATTCTAAATAATATGTTCTTATATTCAGGGCACTTTTAAAAACTATTTCAAATAGGCTAAATACATTAATTAAATGGTTCTCAAGATTGTTTCTCAATCCAATTCCCACCACTCTGTGAAGCTCCAGAGGTCTTTTCAATTCCTTGAAGTGTTCTGCCATTTATTCTGAAATTATGAAATTATAAGACAGAAGTGCGAGTTTCTCACAGTCATTAATGTGTTAAAGGAGATGTACACTAGAGGCGATCCTTAAAGTTTAAACTTAGAATTATTGATAGCTATAAAAGCACTCGCTCAAAACCACCTAACCTTCTTAGCTGGTTAAAAGAGTATAATCCTCTCAGTTATTAGAAGACCTTTGAAGTGAAACACAGAAACTCAGCCCTTCTGCCTGTTTTTAAAACTCTCCTTGACTATAGACTAAATCACAGGGCAGTGTGGGCTGAGCCCTGTCTGTGCAGTGAGCAGCAGATTACTTTACTTGAACTTTGCTCCAGTCAGGACATTTTAAGGCTTATAAATCTTGAATCCATCTAAGTTCACCTTAAATTAGCCTTGCAAAAACACACTCCAAACTCCAGTTGTCAGCCTGGTGGCTTTTGGCCAGATGCCACTCGGCAGCCAAAACACTGATTAATTGTCATCTTCTCTTTCTCTCTTTTTTTTTTTTTGTCTTAGACACAATTTTTAAGGGGGAGAAAAAAGAATATGCAAACAAATTTGATTTGGGTAGCAGCTATAGCTGAATAATGGTATTGTTAGCAGGTACATTTTATATTTAAAATTTATTTGATTAAAATAGAGAGCCAGGCAGCTTAGCTGTGTATATATATTCAATAATGCCATCTACTGCACAAGAAATCTGGAGCTGGGCCAAGAAGCCATGCCAAGATACAACAGATTTTTCAATTTTCCAGCAAATAGAAACAAAATACTGGTTTCAGAAGGTGTACTCAACAAACACTTCCCAATGTGTTTCTGATTTGTGGTCAGAATGTTTTTACTGCTGGTGCCCTGCACTTTTGAGACATTTATTTCCTAAAAGAAAGATTCCTTTCTATAAACCTCAACTGTCTGTTTTTCAAAGCAATTTAAAATCAAACACACAAATAAAATTCTTAACATATGGAAACCTTCATATAAGGCCTTACATATTCAGAGTTAAAATTGTTTTATAAACTGTAATGCTTTGCAGATGAAAATACAGAAAGGATGACTGTTTTTAGCACTAATGCTTTTTGACAGCGTTAAACCTTGTTTTAGTAATTGACATCAAAATGTTTGGTGGTTTTAAATGGACTATTAATAAAAATGGCATGTTTTAAGTTTTTTAGAAATTGTGCTTAATACTGTGAAGTGGGATAAAATTGCAAATGTAATTCAGTGTTTTTATTATTAAAAAAAAATCTTTATAACAAAACAATCCTGATTCTTCTCCCATGTCTCCAGAGAAACTTCTGAAGCTCAAAGCGAGAAAACTTTTCCTCCTTATCCATCCTCAGATTCTCTACTGAAATTGACCTTCTACAGGTCCCAGTTTGGAAAAAGACAAAACAAAACAAAACAAAACAAAACAAAATTGAAAAAAAAAACTAGCATCTTTTGCCATGAGTCCCTAGATGGCTGCTAAATTCAACTGGATCCCATGGCACCATGAAAATGTACTCAAACATCTCTATTATGAACTTGGAAAAATAAACAATATTAGAAGACTTGAATTTTTGTGCCACCTCTGTCATAAATCATGTTGTACCCAGCAAACCACCTAAAACTTTTCTGATATGCAAAAGGGAAATAATAATATTTACTCTGCCAATATGGAAAGACTATTGGGATGAGATTATGAAATACTCTGTGAAAATCTTGGTAATGAAGGCAAAATTATTTAATTTAATTTAAGGCAGCAAGCATCTACCAAGCACCTATCAGCTCTCATCTACAATGCACGGAAGAGACGAAATGGACATGAACATGATGAATCTTACCCTTGTGGAAATTTTGAAGAATGAATTGAATGAAAGTAGAATATAGTCTGAAGTTCAATCTAGAGATTCATTTGGTTCATAGGGAAAAAACAATGAGAAAAGAAATGAGGGAAGAAAATGGCACTGTGTGTTTCTGGAACTTGAAATGATGCAGCATTGCAGTTTGAAGATAGATTGGTAGGCAGAAGCAAATATGACTGAGTTTATGGTACATAAAGAAACATTGTAAAAGATTGTCATTCATTTATTCATTCAACAAATATTTATTGAGTGCCTGTCATGACCCCGGACTATACTAGTTGGTCAATAAACAAAGGTGAAATAAAAATATCTACTCCTCTACCTCCTTGTATTCATATCTAGGGTTGGAGACCTTGGATCTGATTAAATAGGAAATTCGAAAGATGTAGTTCAGGCCAGATGTGGTGACTCATGCCTGTAATCCCAGAACTTTGGGAGGTCAAGGCAGGAGGATTGCTTGAGCCCAGGAGATTGAAACTACCCTGGGCAACATAACGAGACCCTACCTCTAATTTAAAAAAAAAAAAAAAAACATGTAGTTCACATTTCCTAGAGACTACTCTGATTTCAATGTGGGCCGTGGACTCCAGGGATGAGAAATGGAGATTGATGTTAGTACACAGGCCTTTCTTTCTCCCGCCTCTGGGTTCCTCTGTGCCCACTTTCTACTTCGTTGCTAAGCTTTTTATTATGTTGATAAAATCAATGGGAGTGATAAAACTGCCAAACTGGATAGCACAAGGATAACGAAGAGGATTTACTTTAGAAATGGACAGAACTATTAGGTATTTCTACAAAAGGCAGAGGGGAAGGCAGAAGAGTTAAGAACCACCGTCTTATGGGTTTTGTTTGTTTGTTTGTTTCAGAAAGAGTCTCGCTCTGTCGCCAGGCTGGAGTGCAGTGGCGCCATCTCAGCTCACTGCAACCTCCGCCTCCCAGGTTCAAGTGATTCCCCTGCCTCAGCCTCCCAAGTAGCTGGGACTACAGGCACATACCACCATGCCCAGCAAGTTTTTTGTATTTTAGTAGAGACGGGGTTTCACCATGTTAGCCAGGCTAGTCTCGATATCCTGACCTCGTGATCCACCTGCCTCAGCCTCCCAAAGTGCTGGGATTACAGGCGTAAGCCACTGCGCCCTGCCCAGCTTATGTTTTTAGAAGTGTTTTAAGTTAGAGATTGAGATGTTAGAAGGAAGAAATTTTGAGATGAGTAGCTGCTGTCCATATAAAGGATACTGAGAATGGCAGATATGAAAAAGAAATATTTAAATGGTATAAAGAAATGCAAACACTGACCTTGATTATTCTTCAAATTTTATTAGAAAAACAAAGGAACATGGTGGAGACAATGCTGAGACTGGAATTCTGATTTGGGAAGGAATGTAGACCTCAGAAACTGATGTTTCAGGCTGAGACCCAGACATTTGTGTTTGCTAACATGAAAAGAAGTATAAAAAATTTTCTTAGGAATTTATATCAGTCAACAAATACTGAGGAATTTTAGAGTACAGAGATCTCATTCTCAAGGAGACTACATTTTAATAGGGCTGGTATTTGTAACAATGTAACATGTTTTAAAAATTAAGATTAAATATAGTAGCTCAACTAGTCTTTTCCCAAAGTATATATATTTCAAAACATATTGCGCATGATAAATATATATTTTTATTTGTCAATTAAAAATCAAAAAATATAAAACAATATAATTGACAAAAAATTTATATATTTATAGTATACGTTGTAATGTTTCAATATATGTATACATTGTTACATGGCTAAATCAAGCTAATAAGCATATCCATTGCCTCACATACTTATTTTTTTGGTGAGAACATTTAAGATCCACTCTCTTAGCAATTTTCAAGTATACAATACATTATTATTAATATTAACTATAGCTACCATACTGTATAATATATCTCCTGAACTTCTTCACCTAAGTAAAACTTCAAACCCTTTGACCAACATCTTCTCATCAGCCCTCCCTCACCCTTGACTGTGGCAACCACCATTCGACTCCCTGCTTCTAAGAGTTCAACTTTTTTAGATTCCACATATAAATGAGGTCATGCAGTATGTATCTTTCTGTGCCCAGCTTATTTCACTTAGTGTAATATCCTCCAGTTTCATCCATGTTGTTGCAAATGAGGATTCCCTTCATTTTTAAGCTGAATAGTATTCCATTTTGTATATATGTCACATTTTCTTTATCCATTCATCCACTGAGAGACTCTTAGGTTGACTCCATATCTTGGCTACTGTGAATAATGCTGCAATGAATGAAGGAGTGTAGATTATCTCTTAAACATAATGATTTCTTTTTTATTATAATTTTTATTTTAGGTTCAGGGAGTACATGTGCAGGTTTGTTATATAAGTAAACTCTTATCATAGGTGTTTGGTGTATAGATTATTTCATTGCCCCGGTAATAAACATAATACTCAATAGGCATTTTTTTCTGATTCTCTCCCTCCACCCATCTTCCACCCTCAAGCGGACCTTGATGTCTGTTGTTCCACTCTTTGTGCCCATGTGTTCTCATTGTTTAGCTATCACTTATAAGTAAGAACATGCAGTATGTGTTTTTTTTGTTCTTGTATTAGTTTGCTAAAGCAATGGCCTCCAGCTCCATCCATGTTGCTGCAAAGGACATGATCTCTTTTTTTTTGATGGCTTTGTAGTATCCCATGATGTATATGTGCCACATTTTCTTTAGTTTATTGTTGATGGGCATTTAGATTGATTCTATTTCTTTTCTTTTCTTCTTTTTTTTTTTTTTTTTTTTTTTGAGACGGAGTCTTGCTCTATTGCCCAGGCTGGAGTGCAGTGGCAATTTCGACTCACTCAAGCTCCGCCTCCCAGGTTCACGCCATTCTCCTACCTCGATTCTATTTCTTTACCATTGTGAATAGTGCCACAATAAATATATATTGGTAGCATAACATGTGTCTTTATGGTACAGCATGCTGATTTCATTTCCTTTGTTTGTATAACCAGAAATGGGATTGTTAAAGTGGCAGTTCTAGTTTTAATTTTTTTGAGGAAATTCTATAATATTTTCCATAATAGATGTGCTAATTTACATTCCCACTAACCATACACAACAGTTCGCTTTTCTTCACATCCTCGCCAACATTTGGTATCTTTTGTCTTTTTAATAATAGCCATTCTAACAGCTATGAAGTGATATCTCTTGCTGCTATGTAAGTAAGTCATGGTGCAGGGAGGAGGGTATTGTAAAGACCAAGCAACCAGTTGGGAGGACAATGGTGCAGTCCAATTTACTGGTGGCTTGGGAAGATGTGTGTGTTTGAATGGAAAGAGGGTGGGTATAAGGTAGGAAGTCCAGAGTTTTGTGTTAGTCATGATAAATTGATCATGACCTGTTAGATATCAATATAAGAAGAACAAAATGTCTACTTAGGAAAGATCTGGGTGAGAGGTGTAAATTTGAACTTCATCAGAACAAAGATATTATTTGAAGCAAAGACTGTAGAAAGAGAAAGGAAAAGGTGAAGAACAGAGACCTGAAAAATTCTGACATTGAAAAGTCTGGCACAGAAGGGAAAACAAGGAAAAGAAATTGAGGAAAAGTCACCTTGAGTAGAAGATGGATTAAGAATAAAGGAGTAGTCAAATAGTTTATATACTGGTGAAAGGTCATAAAAATAAAAGCCGAAAATTGTTATTGGCTTGTCAAGATGAAGACAATTGATGACTTTGACAAAATTCACTTAGTACTGTCATGGGGATGACTGAACTGAAGATGGAAGGAGTTGAAGTAGCAACAGTGCAAATAGACTCTCTGCCAGCCACTCTATCAATTAAAGGGATTTTACTCCATTCAAAGGGATATTCTTCCACTCATACATGCCCTGCATGCCATTTCCTCTCCCTTTCTCTTGGAATTTGCCTCTACGATATTTCTCTCTCAGCCCCGAAACATTAATTTCTCATTCATGCAATGAAACCTTCCTAATTAAGCCAGTATAACATGGCTTAATTTTCACTTATCTTAAAAATATTTCCCTTAATCGTACTTTTTCATTCCAATGACTGCCCTAGTTTTCTACTTTTTTTCTGTCCAAATTACAGGGTGAAAATCGGGTTTTAATCCACATCAAATTTATCAAGAAATTAGACTTACCCTTAGAAAGAGGGCAGAAACATGACCCCCTGGTGGATTTTGTGCCTACCATGGGTCAGGTAGGCTGAAGAACAACTGGAATAGATTAATTGCCAGCATAAACACAGGATCAGGAATTCACAGGGATTACCATTCCAGGATTAGAGAAGAATCCGTTTGCCTCATGATTGGAACATGCTGCTGAAATTCTACAGAAGTGGCAGGCATCAGAGGCAGAGAAATGTTGAGTATTGAAGTCAAAATCCAAAGACCCAGTACTAGAGAAAATTCGTGGACTCAAGACCACCAGGATCTCCATCATGGTGACTGACTGTTTTGTAGTTGTTAAAAAGCAGAGCAGAGAATGTCTGAAACTCATGTGTTAAATGCCTCATTGTGCACCAATGAACAAAGAATACTCCCTCACATTAAAAAAAAAATCAGATTTGAGAGACAGCCATTACAGTCCACACAACAGAAATTCAGAATAATTTGGAGTTGGCTCTTTTGTGAGGATTTGCAGTAAAAAATTGGACAGTCTTATCTGTCATCTTAAAACTGAAGGACCCTTAGTTTTCTCACTATTGGCAAAGTTAGCTAATAGACCTAAGAAGGAAGAAAGACAACCATGGATGCCCTCAAGAACGGAAATTGAGTTCATGAAGCACTGCAGGTAGAGATGAACCTCCTGAAATAAGCCCTTCAGCAGGAGAGCTCCTAGTGTATCTGGAATTGGTGGGTTCTTGGTCTCGCTGAGTTCAAGAATGAAGCCGCGGACCCTGGCAGTGAGTGTTACAGTTCTTAAAGATGGTGTGTCCGGAGTTTGTTCCTTCAGATGTTCAGATGTGTCCAGAGTTTCTTCTTCTGGTGGGTTCATGGTCTCACTGACTTCAGAGTGAAGCTGCAGACCTTCACGGTGAGTGTTACAACTCATAAAGGCAGCACAGACCCAAAGAGCGAGCAGCAACAAGATTTATTGTGAAGAGAAAGAACAAATTTTCCACAGCCTGGAAGGGAACCCCAGCTGGTTGCCAGGGCTCCGTCGGGTAGCCTGCTTTTATTTCCTTATTCAACCCCACCCACATCCTGCTGATTGGTCCATTTTACAGAGAGCTGATTGGTCCATTTTGACAGGGTGCTGATTGGTGCATTTAGAAATCTCGAGCTAGACACAGAAGGCTGATTGGTGCATTTACAATCCTTCAGCTAGACACAAAAGTTCTGCAAGTCCCCACTAGATTAGCTAGACACAGAGTACTGATTGGTGCATTTACAAACCTCTAGCTAGACACAGAGTGCTGATTGGTGGATTCACAAACCTTTAGCTAGACACAGAGTGCTGATTGGTGCATTCACAATCCTCCAGGTAGACAGAAAAGTTCTCCAAGTCCCTACCCGTCCCAGAAGCCCAGCCGGCTTCACCTCTCACTGGCACTCGCCTGTGGCGCCTAGCCCGGGCACTCCGGCAGCCCAGTTGGAGCTCCTCCCGCAATCAAGCCCAGCAGCTGCTGGCCAGCCACGCCCAGTGTGGGGCCGCCAAGCCCCCGCCCACCCGGAACTCTTGAAGGCCTGTGAGCGCCACCAGAAGCCCCGGCTCCCGCAGGCGCCTCTCGCTCCACACCTCCACGCAAGCAGAGGGAGTCGGCTCCAGCCTCGGCCAGCCCCAGAGAGGGGCCCCCACAGTGCAGTGGCGGCCAGAGCGGATGCCGAGGCCCAGGAGAGGCCGAGAGTGAGCGAGGGCTGCTAGCACGTTGTCACCTCTCACTAGTAAGTACCGATAATCAGGTTTCGCACTCTCCGCCAGGAAATCTCCTAAAATCAACTTAGATCAAGTTTGGAGAATGAGCCTACCAATTTTTTTCCAGTGTAGCAAGAAAGATCACAAACAGAATAGCAATGACTACTAATGCTGTCTCTGGCCCTTTGCAGACACCAGAAGAGGTGGAGATGGTCCATATTTACAACATTTGTTGCAGACAATGAGACAAATTTAGTCCATACTCCACAAATTGCCAGAAGTAATGTTATTTGACCCAACAGGAGGGAGAAAGCGGAATTTGTGTGGAGAGTAAGATGCTGATGTTTGGATGTGCAGAGAAGAGTTTCCATATAGCAGGAAAAGGTATCATTAATTCTCCTTCGTTGTTGTTGTTGTTTTTGAGATGGAGTCTCACTCTTGTCACCCAGGCTGGAGTGCAAATGGTGAGATCTCGGCTCACTGCAACCTCCACCTCCTGGGTTCAAGTGATTCTCCTACCTCAGCCTCCCATATAGCTGGGATTATAGGTGCCTGCAACCAGGCCCGGCTAACCTTTTTTGTATTTTTAGTAGAGGCGGGGTTTCACCATGTTGGCCAGGCTGGTCTCGAACTCCTAACCTCAGGTGATCCACCAGCCTCGGCCTCCCAAAGTTCTGGGATTACAGACGTGAGCCACCACGCCTGGCCAGGTATCATTAGTTCTCTAGGGGAAAACATAGGAGTCTAATACACTGACCCCTTCTTTGCTTTACCCCACAGCCCTTTTTCCTTTCTCTCCAGCTTGTAAGGAAGAGTCTAGATATTCCCACATAGCACTAAGTTCTTCTAAGGGACAATACTGGAAAAAGAAGAAATCACAAGCTGGGTAAAAAGATATACCAGAGTTTAGTTTTGAGAAGGGATGCAGTGCTTGAGAGAAGAAGCTATCATCCACATGAACCATGAGGTAAAGAGACAGAGATTGGATGGAGGAATTTAAAATATAATTCCTTTTTATTAGTAATATTCTTTCTGTCCTTTGGTATTTATTAAAATATTGAGTAGATTATAACTGATTAGATGAGATTAAAGGTTCTGGGCTTTGTTTTGCTTTTTGTTTCTTGATTGCTGTTTCTTTGAATGTAATTCCATATGGTAACTAAGGTCCCATTTTTATTTTGATTATATTCTTGATAATCCAAACAAGATAAAATAAGGAACTAACCTAGGCTGTCGCTGTAATAATTTTGAGAATGGGATACAATGAATATTTACATATTTCATTAGACAGAATAAGATAATTGCCTTGGACATAAGGAAAGAAGAGAAAGAAATAATCTAAGATGATTACCTAGGTTAGTCGATTGGCTCAGTGAGAATAGCAACAACTACGGGATTTGAGGAAGAAAACTAATAACCTAAGTTGAAGACAACCAGTAGGCAATGGGATATCAATGTTTGCAGCTTATGGCAGAGTCAGAGCCAGAACTTCCCCTGCATGCTGGTGAAAAATAAACCCATGGGAAGAGATGAGATTCCCTAAGGCAGACGAATCAGTTAGGATCTCTAGAGGAATCCAAGGGCACCCTGAGATAGTTAATTGGACAATTGTTAATTAAAATTCTAAAATGTTAGCCACAATTAATATTCTTCAGATAATGTAGCAGTGCAAAATAAAGAAAATAGCTATCAACTATTAGTAATAACATAAGTTATGTTATCATTAGCATAACAACTATGCTATGATTCTTTGCTTTCCTTATCCTGTGCCAGCCCTTTTACCTATGCAGAGTTTTGGATCTGATGGAGTGACTCATACGTTTATTCTCATAGATTCTAAGCAATTGATGGTCATGTCTTAGCACATGGATTAGCACTGTTTTCTAAGGATAATTAGGCAAGGGAGTTTCAAGTGATACCCCAGTGATGCCTCTAAGTTCCAAACACAGTCTTTTTTATTCTACTAAGTAACAGTAACCCAATTTGTTTCTAGTTATTGTGACAAATCACCCAGGAGAGTGTAGTGATCTCCACCTTCTCTGCCTGATGGTTCAGCAGCATGAGATGCCCAAAATGTCCTGGGAATTGTTTTAGCTTCCAGTTCATTGGGAAGATGTTGATATTGACTCATGGAAGCATTTGGGCATTATGACCTTCAAATTATTGAACCACATTATTTGGGACAGGACGCAAAATTTCTTCTACTGTGTGAATAATTGGGGCGGGGGGTGGGGGCGCTAACCACTTTGATTCATGCTTCCAATACCAGAACTTTGGGAGGTCAAGGTGGCAGGATTGCTTGAGCCCAGGATTTCATGATTGGTCTTGGAAACATAGTGAGATCCCATCTGTACAAAAAAAAAAAAAAAAAAAGAAAGAAAAATTAGCCAGGCATAGTGGTGCATACCTGTAGTCCCAGCCACTTGAGAGGCTGAGGCCAGAAGGCAGGAGAATCGCTTGAGCCTGAGAGGTCAAGGCTGCAGTGAGCTGTGATCGTGCCACTGCACTCCAGCCTGGGTGAGAGAGTGAGACCGTGTCTCAAAAAAAAAAGAAAAAGAAAAAAAAAAGAAAAGAGTAATTGGTGAGAAGAGCCACTTCCACCTCTACGCTTTAACTCACAGACTTACACATCCTATTAATGAAGCCTAAATTGGTTGCTGGATTAAAACATATACCTCACTATGTAGGAATACAATCCTCACCTCACAAGGTGTTGTCTCCTTGTTTGAACTGTAACTGAGCCTTTAGTGGGCCATTCCACTGTTCTTTCAAACTGGCTACCATTGCTATAAAATGCGGTCCTAGTCAGAGAAGACATATAGGGGAAAATGGCAGTTGATCAAGTCATTCTACGAGTTCATGAATAGTGCTGCTTGCAGGAGCATTGCAGGCAGGGAAGGTAAATCTTTATGTAGAATATGTAGTTGTACCCATGAGAGCTGCCTTCTCTGATGGGAGGGGTCAACTTTTTTTTAGGGCCACCCTTGAGTGGGACTGGAGTACAATATACATTCATTACCTTCCATCTTTTCTGCCAGCAGAGCTCTGATTTTCTTCTGAGAAGTCGTATCCATGTGCCAGAAAACAAGTAGGGTTACTATTACCCAGTCACAAGAGATGAGTATTACAAATAAAATACTACAAAAAAAAATAGAACACTAGGCTATTCTAAGCCAGTCATGATTGTGTTTTTCCTTGCTAGGATACGTAATAAAATTTTAACTGAGATTTAATAGAATATGCTGAGGGACTTCTTGGAAATGAGTCCTCCTCCTAAAAGGTTATGTATAAAAGGAACAGACCCTTTCTGGCCTCTGCATGTTGTTATGTGCATTTGACACCTGGATCTAAAGCAAACATCTTGAGAAAATGAAGGACACTAGCTTAAGTGCATAAGCTAACAAAGTGAGGATGGCATACTGGAAAGATGAAAACAACCTAGATCCTTGATAATGTTGTTAAGCCACTGAATTAGTCACTCATGGAATTGCTTTGCCTGTAAACTTATTGTGTGCAAAACAAGAAACAAAACTCCCAAATGTGGAAATGACTGAATGAAGGAGGTAGGGCAAAGGGCAAAGGTAAGGATCTTACCCTTCATTCTAGAAATCTAGAAGTTTGGCAACCTTGCAGAGGTAGGGAAGAAAAAGATAACTAGGACATAGGACTAATAAAATCAGTCTCTCATTGAATGATCTATAAAAGATAAAGGAGTCAAACTGGAACAAATATAGGATTATGGGTGGCTTCTTTCACTCAAGTCTATTTTTTTTTAACCCAAATCTACTTTTTAAAGCCTTCATGTAGAGACCATTAAAACTGAGAACGAAGGGGTTGATCAGTACACCAAATCTAAGTGCTGATAATTCTTTCTTTCTTCCTTTCTTTCTTTCCTCTTTCTTTCATTCTTTCTTTTCTTTCTTCCTTTCCTTCCTTCCTTCCTTCCTTCCTTCCTTCCTTCCTTCCTTCTTTCCTTCTCTCTTTCTTTCTTTCTTTGCTTTCTTTCTTTCTTTCGAGACAGGGTCTCACTCTGTCACCCAGGCTGAAGTACAGTGGCGTGATTTTGGCTCACTGCAACCTCTGCCTTCCAGGCTCTAGCAATCCTCCTACCTCAGCCTCCCAGGTATCTGGGACTACAGGCATGTGTCACTATGCCCAGCTAACTTTTGTATTTTTGGTAGAGATGAGGTTTCGCCATGTTGCCCAGGCTGGTCTCGAACTCCTGACCTCAGTTGATCCACCTGCCTCAGCCTCCCAAAGTGTGGGATTTCAGGCGTGAGCCACTGGGCCTGGCCGATAATTCTGTAAATGTAAGAGTAACTGTAGACTCCTCACTGTCATTACAACATTGGCATCATGTGAGAGTTTATTAGAATCTCAAGTTCTGTCTAGATTTACATAATCAGAACCTGCATTTTAACAAGATTCCCAAGTGATTGATAAGAACATTAAAATTTGAGAAGCATTTTTAAGGCAAAACTTTTGTATGGTAGTTATTAGCACATGGAATTGACTAGAAAAAAAATAGATGAAAAGCTTATTAGGTTCGTAAGGGAAGTGTATTCCCACTGAGTTTTCTATTGCTTGCTGCTTAATGCAAACTCATTTGTACTGAAGGAATAGTTTTTGAATGGAAATGGCTTAAACATACTTATAGCCTCTTTTTTGTTTAGTGTAGTAAATATTTTCAGATTTTTGAAAACTATAAAAAGCATTAGCATTAGGATTCTGAGATCAGTAATTCTGTAAGATGCAGAAATAAGTATAAGTGAGGTTTTGGAACATGAAATGTTTAAATAACTGTTTAAGAAGACAATAAAGTCAATATCACATGAAAGGAACATGATTAGCTTACAAATGCAAGCAACTCAATGTCATTGTTAGGCACTATCTAGGTACTGGGAGTAAAAAATATGAATGGCATAATCCTTGCCTGAATGAAACACACAATCTAAATAAACTGTAAACCAATTGTCAGATTAAAATGAGCAGGCAAAAATAAGGGGTATGTTTTGGTAGTCTTTGGCATATACATCTCCAAACAACAGGCAGAAGCTTCATAGTAAGCTTTACATTTTTTCTTAAGTTAAAAAATAAAAACTTTCCAGCATACATTATTCTTCTCCTGCAAGCAGTACCACAATATTTTTTAAGGTGCCAACTCTCCCCTATTTTTGATGTATGTGGTTCAAGTTAAGCTACACCATTGCTCCAGGGTAGAGGCATGAGATACAGGTCTGGCCAATCAGAAACGAGTATAGTATTGTTTCCAGCTATCATCCTTCCCTCCAGCATCTCCCCAACTCAAGAGGAAGAAATCATTCACTAGAGTAGGAAGTCTGGACAACCAGAAAAATGATTCCATTTGTAGTGATAGAAATGTCAGTAAGTGAAGAGCATTTGGGAAGGAAGATGAAGAATTCCACTTTAGATAATGAGATTTAATTTAAAATGTTATTATTTCTTTTTGATTGTGAAAGTAATGCCTGGTTTTGCAGATAATTTTGAATATAGGCAAAAGTGAAAGAAAAACATTTAAAATACTTTCTCAAACACCTATTCTGTATCCTTGCAGTTAACCTATGATTTTACTCCTTTTAGCTTCTAATATAATAAATTACAAAAACTGATTATTTTTAACATTTAAGCAAACTTGCATTGCCTTGCATGAACAAACTCAGCTTGTTTTCTCTCTTTCTTTCTCCGGCCCACCCCCGCTTCCTCTTCTCCTTCACTCCCTCTGTTTGGTTACACAATTAAACTGCTGAATTTAATTACTAATATTTTGTTTTGCATCTATGTTTATGTATGAAGTTGGCATAAGATTTTCTTTCTCATCTTTGTCAGGCTTTGCCACCAAGGTTAAATTGTTCTCATAAAATGAATTAGGAAATATCTTCATATACTCTGAAAGACTTTGTTTAAAATTATTTTATCAAAAAAATTAAATAAATAAAATTATCCCATTAATTCATTGAATGTTTGGAATAACTTATTATTAAAATTGCTTAGGCCTGAAGTTTTCTTTGTGGAACAATTTTAAGCTACCAATTTAATCCTGTTAAAAGTGCTGAACGTCTCCACATATCCATTTCTATGTATTCTCATGCACATTCTCATCATTTACTTTGTAGAATTATGTTGGTGTAAAAATTTGTCCTCTCATTTAAGTTTTCAAGTTTCTTGCCACAAAGATGTTCCTACTCTCTTCTTGTATTTTTACCACCGTATTTTCTATATTTACGTCCCTTTTCACATTACTAGTGTTGTTTTAGCTTTTCTCGATTTATCATGAGATTTTCCATAGGTTAGGAAATTTTATCAGTTTTTTTGGGGGGGCGGGTAGGAAGTCGATTGAAGGGCAAAATATATCTTATTTGATCCTTTATATATTTTGTTTTGTTTCATCAATTTTTTCTCCCATTTTATATTTTCCTTCCTTCAAGTTACTTTAGATGTATACTGGTCCTGCTTCCCTGACTTGATCATGTGTTCATTAATTGTCAGCCTTTCTTCTTTTCTAACTTGGGCATTTTAAGTTTATGAATGTCTCTCTAGACACTGCCTACCTGCATTCCATAAGTTTTCATACATAATATTTTCATTATTATTCTTGTTCTTAAACATTTTCTAGTCATCACCATGATATTGCCTTTTTTCTATGATTTATTTAGATTTGCATTTAAAAAGTTCACAACATGTTGTAGCTATTGTCTTTCAGTACACACAAAAGCAATTTTCCATGTCCTTCTGCTGAACTGTCTGACTTTCTGCCTTTCCTTAATATTTGGCCTTATTATTATTATTATTATGGGTTTTTTTTTAGACAGTTTCTCTCTGTTGCCCAGGCTGAAGTGCAGTGCCACAATCTTGGCTCACTGCAACTTCTGCCTCCCAGGTTCAAGCAATTCTCCTGCCTCAGCCTCCCTTGTAGCCGGGATTACAGTCACCCACCACCACACCCGGCTAATTTTTATATTTTTAGTAGAAATGGAGTTTCACCATGTTGGCCAGGGTGGATTCGAACTCCTGGACCTCCAGTGATCCAACTGCCTCACCCTTCCAAAGTGCTGGTATTACAGGCCTGAGCCACTGCACCCGGCCTCAGGTAACTCTCTAAAAATATTTTTTATTCAGTTTTTCAGGCTTTCTTAAGAGGAACAATCAGATTGTATATTCTTTATTTTGCGGTTGTGACACTTCAAATTTTTTGAATTATTTTTTGTGTAAGATGTGTATTTTGTGATAAAATCCTGAAATAGTATCTTAGCACTAGTGCTTTATTTTATAACATTTCCATGAAAACAAGACATTAGTTCAAAAACAATTAAAATTTAGAAAATTCTCGTTGTCTGCTTAATGGCAGATATTTCAAAAATCATTGAGTTTGATTAGTAATTCTCATGATTTGTTAGCTTTAAACAAAAAGTTGTTCATTGTAGTAGAAAAATAAACATCAACAAAAATAAATCTATTTAAATATAACATCTTTATAAGAAATGTAAACTATGACTTCAGAAAATATTCTTTGAAAAATTGTGTGTAGTTTTTTAGATTAATGATGTGCTTAAATTTAAAATAAATCTCTTTTAAATGGTCCAAAAATACAAATGCAGCAAGCAAAATAAAGATGTTGAAATATTTTATTTAATTTAAATTTAACATCCAGAAAAATAACAAAATACTTATATAAATTATACTCATGAGAGAAAAATATATTCAAAAATGGGTATTCTGAAACTTTAAAAACCTATTTTATGGTTTAATAAATTTGAACCTTAGCAGACAGAGCATACCAAAGAATTACAATCGAATAGAATGCCTAATTTGCACTGATATTTGTGTTTTCTCATACTTCCACGTTGTTAGTATCAGAATTTTTAAGATCTTACATGACCAAGATGAATTAAGATTACAAACAGAATTAAGGTTGTTAATCAGTTGACCTTGAAATAGGGAGATTATCCTGGATTATCTAGGTGGATCCAGTGTAATTATTGAGAGCCTGAAAAGATGGAAGAGGAAGGCAAAAGAGGGGTCAGTGTGAGAGAAAGGCTTGAAGATACTATGTTTTAAAGATGGAAGAAGGGGCCTGGAGACAAGCTGGAATCTGGAAAAGACAAAAAATAGATCTCCCCTAGACCCTTCAGAAAGAATGCGGCCCTTCAGACGCCATGGTTTTAGTCCAGTGATACCTAGGTCAGACTTCTGATCTCTATGACTACACAGTGATAAAGTTGTGTTGTTTAAGCCACTAACTGTGTAATAAATCGTTACAGCAAAAATAGGAAACTGATACAACACCAACTCTTTAAATGTATTAAGACATCTTGCAAAGACCAGCTGATAGAATCCATCTGAAAAGATTATAATTAAAGATATTTCAAATTGGTAAATTTGCATATAATGGAAATGTCAGCTTTCTGCATTCTTATCAAATTTACTTGAAGACAGATACTATTTTTATGATAGAATCATAAATGGCTACCTAGCTTATCTTTCAATATGAAAACCTAAACAGGAAGATATAATTTGTCAAGTTAATTCTCATGGGAACATCATAAAATGGATTATTGTTGGTTAAATTGGACATTCATACATTGATGCCATTATCTCCAGACCTTTTTCAACAAGGTCTAAAGAACTACACTTTTGAGATTCACTATGGAAATTTGTTGTCACCAAGAATTCAAATAATGCTTTTAAAATAATAATATTAATAAAAACCTTCCTTTAATATTTCTGAACCAGAGAGGTTACTATTCTACCCGGTTTATACTTTTAGACTCAAATTATTTTAGGTAAAAGAGTAAAAAGCTCAAAATTGTGTTTTAGGAAAAAAAAAGTAGCAAGATAAGAAACAGTTTGGACTTCTAGCAAGGGTGACTTTGTAAGTTCATACTTTTGGTTAAACCCATGTTTCCAAACACATTGTGATGACAAAATATAAAACAATAAAATAAAGACCCAACCTGGAACAAAAAGAAGATAACTTCCCTGTAGAGCAAACAAACAACACAAAGAGTAGACAGAAGCAATGAACCTGCTCAACTCAAGGTCCGGAGAAAGCAGAGGCAGCCAAGAATTAGCTCATGTAGAGAACTGGAATTAAAATATTTCATATGGATTAAGGGGACCCCTTGAAACCTAGGGATTTTGTGGATTCCCTGATGCTAATAATACAGGAACTGGAACTGTGCTTATATGCTTTCATGCCCGGGGAAGCAGGTGAAAATACACACAGCATCACAAGGAAACTGAAATAAATTGTTTGGGACTCGTATGCAAGAGCCCCAACAGTACCCTAGTGCAGAATGCATTTCAGGATTTGGTTATGGGTTTGGAACTACAGTAAATGCAACACCATTAGACAGAAAGTTATGGAGAAAGAGTAAGAGTGAAAGTAAGAGAGAGCAACAGTGGAGAGAAAGTAGGAGAGATCCTACAAAAAACATTAAAAAGATAGCCAAAAGTATACAACCAGAGATCAATTCTTCTTAAGTGAAATTGAAATAATAGTACAGTCTGAAAATATGCTTTTAAAGCATATGTTTAGGAGGCTGAAAAATCTAACATTCATACAAAATAAATAATTAGCTTGAGAATATTAAGGGAATCAATTTGAAATCTTAGATGAAACAAAATTATTAAAATACAAAGATGTATACCTAGAAGAAACTCCAAACTGAGCACAGAAAAAAAAAGATGAAACAACAGATTTCTGAGGGGCTAACCCAGAATATAGCACACAGAGTACAAGAGTAAAAGAAAGAGAAGGAGGAGGAGGAGGAAGTAGAGGAGGAAGAGGAGGAAAAAGAGTATTGCAAGACATGAAGGATAGATCAAGAGCCTCCGATAAATAACTAATAAGGTATTTCATAACTATAAGGTGGTCCTGGCTCGATAGTGTCCTCAGATGGTGTGATGGTTAATATTAAGTGTCAACTTGATTGGATTGAAGGATGAAAAGTATTGTTCCTGGGTGTGTCTGTGAGGGTGTTGCCAAAGGAGATTAACATTTGAGTCAGTGGACTGGGAAAGGCAGACCCACCCTTAATCTGAGTGGCCATGGTCTGATCAGCTGCCAGCCCAGCCAGAATAAAAGCAAGCAGAAGAACATGAAAAGACTAGACTGGTTCAGTCTTCTGGCCTACATCTTTCTCCCGTGCTGGATGCTTCCTGCCCTCGAATATTGGGCTCTAGGTTCTTCAGTTTCGGGATTCAGGCTGGCTTCCTTGCTCTCAGCTTGCAGAGAGCCTATTGTGAGACCTCACCTTGTGATCCTGTGAGTCAATACTCCTTAGTAAACTCCCCTTTATATATACATCTAACCTATTAGTGCTATCCCTCTAGAGAACCCTGACTAATACAGATGGCTAGGAGAAGCAATTTCAGGTATTTCTGAAGAAACATATCTGTCTTCATTCTCATTGAATGATCACAGATAAAGTTTCAAGAAAAGTAAACATATCATCAAAATCTGCAAAACAAGGAAATAAGACACTATAAGCAAGAAAGAACAGAAACAAAGAGGCAACTGAATTAAATTCCAAGTCTTCAATTATAAGGATTGTCAGGAAACAGAATATTAGTATGTTCAATATGCTTAAAAATATAAAAAAGGCTACAAATGTGAACAAATATGAAAAGACTGGAAAGTCATCTTATCTAGCTGAGAAACAAATAGAACTTATATAAAATAAAATACATAATTATTTAAATGAAAAACAAATTAATGGGAAGAATTAGCGGTAATTTAAGTATAAATAGATTTTTAAAATTAGTGGATGGAAGACACAGATAAAGAAATTACTCAGAATGTGGCACATAGAGACAGAAGTAGAAAACATGAAAGAATGGTTAAGAGACAAATGATAATGTGAGGAGATATAGAAGGTGTGTGTGTGTGTGTGTGTGTGTGTAATTGCAAGGAGGGTAAAATGACTCGTAAAAAATAAAAATTGCGATTCATCATAGTGAAATGGCAGAAATTAATGACACAAAGAAGATCACTTAGAGAGAAAAACAGATTATCTTTAAAGGGACGGAAACCAAAACCATAGAGAACAATTTATATTATATTATTAAAGTCTTGGGAAAATTTATGCCAGCCAGACACTAGCCAAATAAACTAATTTAGTACTTTTAATACCAGGCAAAATAGAACTCAAGGTAACAGAGGATATACAATACCAATGCACAGTAATTTTAAAAACCTACCAGAAGTAACACTAATCTCAAAACTAGAACTAACAAACTCGATTTCAGAATAGATTGGAGAAAGAAAAAAAAATTGCAGTGTGAAATTTAATGAGAAAAATAAGGAGATAAACTTGTCTGTTGAATGTGGTATTAGAGATTCAATGTTGATCTTCAAGAGAGCAGTATTATGAAACTGACTGAAGAGTAAACCAGTTTGCAATAGGAAAAAAATGAAGGACAGGTGAGAAAGTGAAGATTTCAGAATTGTATCTGGGGAGCGAGAGGGAGAGCTAATGCCAAAGCTGGAAGGGACCATGTGGCCAAGAGAGATTTTTTTTTTCTTTTTTCTTCTAAAACCTGGACATCCTTTTCAACAGAATTTGAATGTGATTTTTGCTTGCCAATGTGGAAAATTATAATAATACTCTTCTTTATTGGTCCTTTTCCTCTCTTGTCACACAAGTGGAGGAATCAAAAAAGAAAGCCCTTTGAGGTCAGGCCTTGGGTCACGTGCTACTTTGTTAGCATGAGTGCAAGAAAGAAAGGTGAGATGTCATTTAGCCATACCCACATGCATGACTTCCTACTGCCCTGTGATACCACCTGGTACAGTAGCCCCCTTGGAGTCCTGGGAGCTGACCAACTGGGTAAGCAACTCCTCCCTCAAGGGAGAGAGGTGAAGTAAACCAGAGGTTCTTAAGTGTCGAATTTTGTCCCTGGCCTGGACCCTCCCAAATTCATACATTGTAGCTATAACCTGTAGTACCTTAGAATGTGACTCTGTTTGGAAATAGAGTCTTTAAAGAGGTAATTAAGTCAAAATGCAGTCGTTGGAGTGGGCCCTAAACCATTATGACTGATATCTTTATAAGAAGTGGAGATTAGAGCACCACCAGACGCAGAGGGGAAACCGTCTGAAGACACAGGGATAAGATATCCATCTGCAAGGTGAGGCGAGAGGCCTCAGAAGAGATCAATCATGCTGACACCTTAATCTCAGATTTCTGGCCTCCAGAATTATGAGAAAATAAATTTCTGTGGTGTAAGCCACCCAGTCTGTGGTACTTTGTTATGACAGCTCTGGCCAACTGATAGAGGACTGGATGAAATTCTGAACTCATTTTCTCCCTAGTGTCCCAAACCTCTTTTTTATCTTATTATTTTATTTTATTTTAATTATTTTATTTTATTTTAATTCTTTTATTTTAAATTTAAGGTGTGACAGGGCATTGCAGCCAAGCCCACAGTCAGAGGAAAGATCAGAATCAAATATTCAGATAAGATCAGAGAGGTTGACCTTAAAAGTCCCAAAAAGGAGTCAGCACAAAGCCACATTTTCCACTATACTGAAAAAGTAGCCCTTGCTCTTTTTCTCTGTCTTGAATTATGCTCAGAGGTGTTGTGCAGCCCTTTGCACTAGGAATGAAGCTTGTTATGCCCAGGTGATAAGGTAGCTCAAATAAAAAATAACACTAATAATTTCAAATTAACAGTTTGAAGAAAATGACCCCATTTCTTTACTAAAAACCCACAAAAGAAAATTGATGCCCCCAAAAAAAGTTAAGTCCACATAGTAAAAACCCTCTTTCCTTGTGGTCACAGATAAATGTAAAATATTCCTTAGGTAAAAGTGATTAGAAAAATAAAGTCAAAGTTCACAAAGCTATATCTTTTTTTATTTGTCCAGAAATACTAAAGTTTAGAAATGTAAATTTCCCTATCACACAAACCTTGTGACATTTCCAATAATTTCAGATATACTTGGAGATAGTTTTCATAATTAAAATAAATGAAAATATTTTAATTTCAAAATACTTAGTAAAATGTCCTGGGCTTTAGAATTAAATCTTATGTGTTTGAATCCTGAATCTGTCACTTACTAATGGTGTAACATTTTGTGACATACTCTGTAGTTCTCTGGCTTCCAGGGTTCTCTTATGCAAATAAGAATAATAATGCAAACCACACATGATATTTTAAAGATAAAGTAAGAAAGTTTGAGCCAAACCATTTTGTGAAGCTTAAGGTACATTATTTGGGGTGCTATTTTTATTATTTTTATTTACCTTTGAGTAAGTAAGAAAAGGGCCCCAAGGAATTTTTCTTTCCAAAACTGTTTTTTAAAGCCTGTCTTTCTCATATAGCATCTGAGACCTCTGCTTAGTAGCTATCAACTTTTGCCATGTTATATTCTGAACACAGCCTATGAAAAAATATAAAAATGTCATGAAATCCAAATCTCCCCATTTCTAACACTCCAAACTGTCTATCTTTGTTTTACTCTGCATTGTATATTTTTAAAATAGATAGTAGGAAGCAATGGCCATTCTGGCTTGCTGCAGTTAGAGCTGTACTGTAAGGGGTAGATACGTAAAACACCCATCCCTCAGAGGCCAATGCAAGGGAGCCCTGAAGATTAGCCTTGGCCTTGAGGTTTTCTCCAAGCAAACATCTTATCAGGCCAATGGAAGACAAAATGTGCACTTACATTAAAAAAAAAAAAGAAAAAAGGAAAAGTTTACTCTGGATTTAACTTTAAACCCAGGAATGTGTGATGGTATGCTATAAATTGTCTTTAAGGTGGGAACATCGAAAGTCAAACTTCTAAGTACCTGAAAGAAAAATTTGAAGCTTCTTGCTCTTTTGAGTGTCAAGTGACCAGATATGTGTACCACGTCTATGGAACTTAATGATATAGGTTGTCTACCCTTTAATATTTATGATGTTATCTAAAGGCTGTATATACTTGACATTTCCAGGGCCAATTTTTGGAAATGGTCTTAACCCAGCTTCTAAATTTGCAAACACAAACTATTTGGGCAAATACTTCTGGTGGTTAAATAACAATGCAGTGTTTGAGAATATTATTTGATGCACATAATTTTAGAGAATGTGCTGGAAGAAGGTAAAGTAGGCTCCCCACTACACACAAATAAAACTTTTAAAAACCTTAAAGTTCAGTCATATCCACAAAGTTTTTATCTAAAAAATGAAAAGGAATGACAGAATTTAGGAATAGCTTATTAAACACATCAGATGACCTCAAATATTCACTTAACATCATCATCATTTGAAAGTACCTTCCTAAATAAAGACAGGTAGCATATCATTATCTGTTTTATTCCTGGGGATTTGACTCCCTCATCTCGTCTTTCCCATTATAGATAATTACTAAAACACCAAACACTAATCAAGAGATCTATGGGGATCAAATAAGTAGGAAAGGATTCTCTCTTCCTCCCAGGTACTTGAATGGGGGACTAGGGGGAATAATTTTCTATGGTCTAACTGGTCAATGTACTATTCATGTTTTTCAGTGCATTCATTTGAACATCAGCTTAATACAGTCACCATGCCTAAATTCTAGTAATAAAATCAATACAAAATGGAATTTTCTAAACTGCGTTTAATTTAATTGTGATTTTCCTTTATTTGTATCTTAAAAAAATCTTTTCAAAGCTCTATGAGTGGTCTGCCCAAAGTGTAAGTGCCTGATTGATTGACAGATTATTTTACAACTAGTACTTATTATTCCTTTCTATTAAGAGCTGAGTGGCTTTTAAAGTAAAAACATTAGGGTGAAAAAAAGGTCTTTGATTCATTTATTTTAAACAGAAAATTGGAGAGAAAAAAGTTATAAAGTTGGTGATTTTGACAGTATGTGCATTTCTTGCATAATATATTAATTGACAGTCATAAATTGTAATGGGTAGACCCACAATGCAAAATGGAAAAGGTAAAAATGTATAGAATAATCTGAACGGTATTATGTGGGTAATGATTGACCTCAGTTCATATGTGGGTATTTAAATAGAAAACTAAAATGAAAGGTATGTGGAGATTTTGACTCCAGTACATACTTTATGAGATTGTGGAAATTGTGTAAAAGGCAGGTGTTGCTTTCTCCTTTACAGTCCTATAATGTTTTCTTCCTTTAAAAATAGTTGGATATTTTTAAATTTAAAAAATTTAGGTGATGGTCCTTATACAAAAATTAATTCAAGATGGATTAAAGACTTAAACGTAAGACCTAAAACCATAAAAACCCTAGAAGAAAACCTAGGCAATACCATTCAGGACATAGGCGTGGGCAAAGACTTCATGATTAAAACACCAAAAGCAATGGCAACAAAAGCCAAAATAAACAAATGGGATCTAGTCATAACAGGACTAGTCATAACAGGCTGGGTCTAAATGTTATATCGCTGCATGTAGCAAACTCTCCACAAACATGAAATAATACCCATGGCCAAATTGAGCCAATCGACGAGAATAGGAAGTCAATAAGCACAGCTGAGTATTATTTATTTTTTAGTGTCATTCAAAGAGTTACTTTTAAACTCATGCTGTGAGTGTCGTTTATATGCGTTTTGGGGATTTGTGATTAAATTTAGCCTGGAGAGACCGATTTAGAACTCCAGATTTAGATGATACTGCTGTGCTCTTAAAATTGACTAAGAGAAGTTGTTGAATATTTGGCCTAGAAAGCAAAGCATGTTGCATAAAGGGAGACCAGAGCACTGAGGCAGCATTGCAAGAGGCAAAACCAGAAGGAATCCACACTTGAGTTCAGCACACATGGGAGAAAAGGACTGAATAAATTATGCATCTGAACCAAAATCAGGTTGATGAATGAAAGAGAGTTACTGATGAACAAAAGCGAGTGCTCAAATCACATCAGTCCATTACCAAGCAAGGGTTGGGGAAAGAGACTCATCTTAGGAAATAGATGTTTAAATTATGATTCCAGGCTTGGTTTTTAAGCAGTAGAACCCATTTGGAGTAAGCAATTCCTGACTGCTATGCTGCCTGGCCACTCTTCCTTTGCTCAGTGTCTGCCAAGCAAACCTTTTGGGGCATTCATCTATTCTAGATCCCAGCCACCTTGCGACATGCCGTCATTGTTCTATCTACACTTGTATTTGTTTTTGATGCCTCCTGCTCCCCCTGTGCTTATCCCTTCTTTTTCTTCTAAGGCATCTTGCCTGCTCATATTCCTATTTATCTCTTCTTGTCAAAACTGCATTCAACCCTTATTCTGGCTTCTGTGATGATCATTTCATTGTGTGTGTTTGTTTGTTTTGAAAAATCACCTTAGTAGAATTTGCCAGGATTGGCATACATCCACTTGTTAGGAAAATTTTTTCCAATAATTTTGCATACAATTCTAAGATAGTCTTTTAGAAGTGTTATGCTTTCCTTTTTAGTGATTTTGTATGTTTAGAAAGAAATTAATAAAAAGACAGTTAAGAAATAAAAGGAAGGAAATTGTGGACCAACTGGGACTATTGTCCATTGTTGGTAGAACAAATACTTTGAACATGGTACCACTACTTTGGAAAATTGTCCAATATTTTTTAATAAAGTTAAATCTATGCTTATCCTATGGAAGAACAACTCCATTCCTGGGTACATACCCTAAAGGAATATAGGAAAGTGTTCCTGTACACTAAAAAAATATTTTACAAGAACATTTATAAAAGCTGTACTCATCATAGGCAAAAAACTGGCAACAACCTAAATGTCCACCAATGTGATAATGAATAAACAAATGAGAAATACATATAACAATATGGATGAATCTCAAATTAATTATATTTACTGAAAGAAGCCAGACATAAATGAGCACACAATGTATATTTCCATTCATGTGAAGTTCAGGAATAGGGAAAACTAATCAATGGTGATAAAAGACAAAATATAGCCTATTCTTAGAGAGGGACTATTATCTGGAAAGAGGTATGAAGGAACTTTCTGAGGTATGGAAATACACTAGTCTTGCTATAAGTGATGGTTACTGAAGTGTAAACATTTATTAAAATGTTTCAAGCTATACATTTAAAGTTTATGCATCTCAATGTATTAAAAGAAGAAAGGAAAGAATAAAGGAAGATACCATGAAAAGAACACAGACTTGAAAACAAGACATTCCTGGATTCAGAATCTAGCTCTCAGTTAACAATTCTGTGATTTCGAGGAAGTTATTTAATCTCTTTGAACCTTAGTTTTCTCATCTATAAAATGTAGAACTATCACCTACCTCATAGGTATGTTAAACCGATTATTTAATAGTAGCAAATCAATAAATATTAATTCATTTCCTGTCCCTTTTCTTCCTGTTTTGACTAATTATTAGCAGTGGTATGATTCCTGGCTAATATTCTTTCCACCATGCCACAAAATACAATTGAATGCACATTAAAGTTTGAAGTTCACACCTCTAGAAATGCTAATCAACATGACTCTGATAAATTATGCACTAAATAAATCTATTTAGAAGTGTTTGAAATGACATCTCCCAATCTTATTGGATCAAAGCACTGCTCCCAGAAACATATATTTTGGTGGGGAGACAGAGGAACTATTATCCCACCACAGGATTTTTTTCTAAAGAAACACTTTGCGAAACAGATAAACAGAAATAGCATGTCTTCCCAGTTCTGAAAAAAAAAATACACTGGGGGAGCCCCTGACACAGCCCAAAAATATTGAGTTCAGGGTGAGTCTGCATATAGCTGTAATTCTCAAAGCATATGTGCTTGGATAAATAATGTAAGTCATTCTTAAATGTGAGTGAAGGGCATACCAGAATCACTTCATGAGCTTTGTAAAAATACATATTAACATACCAATCAGCTTCTTCTATGGAGAAACATAATATAGATAGCAATATAATCTGTAGGAACTTTTGAAAATACAGCCCCTGGCTCCCATCCCATATTCTGTGCATCCTAGAAGATATCATCTAGTATTTACAAGATGCACCCTCCACACAGGTGAGAACCACTGGTTTAAATATTAATAAATGCTTCCCAACTCAGATTGCACATTAGTATTACCGAGGCTTTAAAACACCAATTTGCAAAGCCCACTTTTAAAGACCAGTTTAATTGGTCTGAGGTTAGATTTGGCCATCAGCATGCTTTAACGCTTCCCAGGTGATTCTAATATGCACCATGAGTTGAGAACCACGGGTCTAAGGAAAAGAACAGTTAATATTTTCATGACCCCATTGCCAAAACCGCCCATCATTTTGCTCTTCAGTAAAAAATAAAGTCACTTTGGAAATAATATTGGTTTCAGAATGTCTGTGTTGAAATTTTTTGTTCAGAGGGCCTCTCTTTATAAGGAGTACCAGTGAACATCAAAGTGATATTTCAGACAGCAGAAGACAGTGAACCGGTTGAGAATTGCTGCTCCAAGTCATTAGGATAATATGAGGATCTGGGCAGTTTGCACACTGCCCTCCATCCATATTCATTCAGAGCTTTAATACTATTACATACAAGCAATTTGTAGACATCTGGGTTTAGAAAAACCTCTAAAAGGATTTTTTTTCATTGTCTTTAAAAATAATCATTTTATAATTTAACTTCATTTGAACAATTTTTAAGTAAGTGCAGTTATCAGAGAACTAGTTTTTCCCAAGTTACCTAATTCAGACTAAGTAAAGGTCAGAACAAGGCTTTTAAAAATAAGCATTATTTGTCTTTCTGAGAAAAAGTCTAACAAAGATGTTTTCAAAGCTTCTATCATCTAATACCTTTAAGACTTTATTTCAATATTTATTATAAATCAAAACTGGTATTCAATTAAATGCTTTCAAATTTGTACATAGTAAATGATTTTTTAAATTAGAAATACCTTATCTAAAGTGTACCTTTTTGAGGGCATATTTCTTGTTTACTTGACCGTGTTGTATATAAATATCCAACATTTTTAGCATTTGGAAATAAACTTATAGGCAGAAAGTTTCATAAAGGAAATATCTATTTACTTAAAATGTACCAATGTTATCTAATGGGGTAAAAGAAGCTTAAGTAAGTCTTCTGTGAGATGACTTACTGTGATTTTATCAAAACAGCCTTCCAAATTCTGTGGGCATAAACACACTGGAAATCTAGACATTAGTATGCTTTGCATAGAAGAAGTATGTCTTTCCCTGGCTTAACTGGATTATTAACACACACACAAACACACACACACACATACACGTCTAATTGTCAAATGATAGGTAATAAATGCTTATTGAAGTACGTAATACAGGATTTTTTTAAGTAATAGGGAATGTAATTTGGGATACTCAACTCCTTTTTAATGGAAAGAATTATAATATTGCTATTGATAGAACTTTTATAGACCTTGCCTTATATAATTTAAACAGTGCTGGTCACTAAACCTTTGCAAGGTTTAATTGCTATGCAGTGGAACAGTATGGAGCAATTATATGAATGATACCAGATCTCAATGCTTAAGTTATGAGAAAATATGGGGAAAGTTGAGCAAGTTCTCTGTGGAAAAGAAAAGACTTCATGTAACCCAATTGAAGTTTTAAAAATTATAAGGTGGATTGATAAAATTGATCCAAGCAAACTCTTTATGCTTCAAGACCAGAGAAGTGAGTAGATAGGATCTGAAAATTAGAAAGTTGGAACAAGGAAAAAAGAAAGCAAAACTCTTTTACACAAAGGATAATAAGCATATGGAATAAATTACTATAAAGGGCCCCTGAAGCAAGGAGCATCATTGAATACAGGAGGGAATGAAATGAATTTCTAAATGAAAAGGGAAGATAGGGAAGAACAGGAAGAAAATAGGCTAATGGAAATAAGGGAAACTTTAAAAAGCAAGTATGATGAGCAGAGAAACCTTTCACTGGGGTCTCTTCTTTCTGATAGTGCTGTTAAATGGCTTTTGGCATAGCCTGTAATCTAAAATAATGTCATAGCGTGGTGCTCCATGCTGTCACATTTAACCAAATGCTACATGGCACTTAACATTCTTCTATCTTCAGGGATGTCTAAATACAAATCTATGTAATATAATTCTACTTAGCAAATAGGTGATTTGGGAACACTGCCCACCTTTGTGACCAATGGAGTTGAACTTTTCTATGGATGTTGCATATTCAAATAATTTTTCCTTAGTCTGTTGCTTTAAAAAATAAATCAAGAATTGCCCATAAGCACCTATAATCTAGTGCATGTCTTAATAATAGATGAGATGATTTTCAATAGGACATGCAGAAAATATGAAGGCATATTAACCATTTGTAAACTGTTCATAATGGGACTGATTGTCTTTCCTTGAGTGCATTGTCTTCTGTTACATTTGAAAAGAACCCCTGCCTTCTTCGCTGGAAGCATGAATCTTTTTTTAGGAAAGAGTGCTGAGGCTGAATTCAGGATTTCAAGTGATGGATGATTTGAAACATTAATATGTAAGGTATTGCTAGCTAATTATTCAGCAGTTACTGCAGCAACTTAGATGGGGAATAGGTTACCTTTGGGAGAGAGTATTCTGCTTTTAAGTCATGCAAACTAAAGTATTACTAGAAATTGTATAGTACATGTTACTGCTAACTCTTTCCCCAAAAATATAGAAACATATATTTTTTGTCTAAAATATAAAGTACTTAACATAGGCATAATCATCAAATTAGAAAATATCTAATACACAAGGAAGAGAGTTTTCTTTAATTTAGGCTTAATCATGCATTTTAAATATTTCTTTTATAGGTATAGATTTTTCCAGACATGTGGACAGGATCGGAATATAAGCAAAAAATAACCAGAGGACATGAGCAGGGCAATGTTTTATTAATGACTAAACCAGAACTTCATGAACTGCTCAATCATATGGGAGCATTTTCAGATGAAAATGTTCATCAATAACACATCAAGACCATTATCAAAATTTGTCGGCCTGGATGTCTGATTTTGAGATTTTTGCCACACATGAAACCTGTCCACTGTTCACAAGCAAGATTATTGTAAAGGAAATCAATCGTAGATCATAGTTTGCCAAAATGCCTAAAGAAGGTTATAGTTTTAAGATATAGTTTAAAGTGGCATAATGAACCTATCCAGAGATGTAGAATTAGCTTGACAGATCAGATGGGCTCCACACAATTCCTAGATGTGGATGCGGATTCTCTAAACTGTAAGAGTGATTGGTAGCTGGAATGGAGAGAAAAGAAGGTCTAAACATATAGCTCATCAGTTCAGAAAAGAGTTGAAAAAATTATGAAGCTGATATCACCAGTCCCTTTGTTTCCAGCTCTCACCTCAACTCAAGCCAAGCCAAAGAAAGGCATTGCTAAATAATTATGGCATCATTTCCCACTGAATTAACAATCCTTCTTAAACCTGCCCTCCCAGGAGATCCTCACAGTCTATTGGGTTTTGCACTGGAGATGAAACCTACTTAACAATCTTTGCTCAGATGTAAATTCAGAATGGATCTGAAGAAAAATGTTTGTGCAAAAGTATTTGGGCAACTTTGAGCAATGGAACAAACCACTTTCCTGTGCTAATGTATTTTCTTTCTGATCCATTTTGTAATAAATAATCAAGATGGGGAGGGAAGATTGTGAGTGTCAAAGAGCACCAAAAGTTAGTTAGGACACATTTATCTTGTGGAGACATAATCTCAGAATGGATTCTTTTTTTCCCCCTTTGGGGCTTTTTGGCTTTATTTTCTGAAAAGTTAGATATAGATTGATAGACAAGTAGGTAGCTGGGTGGACAAATGGGTGCATAAAAAGATAATAGCACTCATTTATTTGGTTGGCAATGCTTTGAGACATTTTATTTTGGAAGCTGATTGTGTCTTATAGAAATACATAGACAACAATAACATAGAGAAACATTTGTCCTGTGTTTAAATGTTAGTGGCACAAGATTTACAGTGTATAGTTAAAGCAACACATACCAGTATTTGTGGATGCTGAGATTAATTTTCAATATGCAGTCTCCCTTGGGATATTTATATTCTTCCAATCAGCATGGAACTGTCCATCAAAACTAACACTATAAATTTTTTTTAACTTGGCACTGCAAATATTTCAGGGCTTTCTTTAAAGAGCTCTAGACAGATTAGCAATCTTCCTGTAAAAATGACCTCTGTCATTTTTCCTAGTGCTGGCTAGTTATTTCAATGCAATTGAATTCAGAGGAGGAGAGGGGTTCCCCTCTTATTCTTCCTCTCTTTTTTTAGACAATTTTAGAAACATTTGTTTAGGCATAGAGATTATGGCTATTTCAAGAAAGTACTGACATTTACTTTAGAATGCAACATGCATTGTGATTTAAAGTTTATTTCTAATTAGATGAGAGCAAAATAAATAGTTTCCAAAAGGGAAATATTTTTTTTTCACAAATTGCTCCCATCATTTTTGAACCCTGCAAAGCATTTTTACTAGATATATACCCTTAGCTCATCTTTTGCATGCTAACAATTTAATCTGAATACCAATATAGACACAAAATAAATGATTGTTTCCTGCCAGAGGTATCTGCAGAAGAAATCTTGGAGTAAAACATTGTCTTTGCAGCTCATTGTGTCTCTAATTAGAGTGGAAGGAGGCAGAAGCTTGCTGGTGTCAGTCTGTGTTTAGCATGCCCTGGAGCCTCAAACTCCTGTGGGTATCAAAGTGCACTAATTAAATGAGGGGTCCACAATACGGCACTAAACATCAGAGTGCGAGAAAGAGTCCAGTGTCCTCAGTGCCTTTGAGAATCGGTGGCCCACGCTAATTACCCATTGTTGAATTGACTTTCCATTCTGTGAGGAATGAATGGTTCAACTCTCCCTCCTCCCTCCACCCCTCCCCCTTTCTATTTTACCATCTTTGCTTTGGCCGCCTAATTAATCTTATGGAAATCTCCTGAAGCCAGATTCCAGCAAGGTTGCCCCGATGTTTATAATTTGATTTGTGATGATAAAAGTAAAGGCACCCGGTGATGGAACAGTGTCATTTTCAACACTCTCGAGAATCCAAGAGGCTATCAATCTTTCCCACGTGCACCGCAAACTGATATCCTAGAAAATTAACTTCAATTAATAACAGAAATCCCTAGGCACACCGGAAAGTGGAGCTGCCTTGAAAGAGAACCTTCAAAGATGTCTCTGGACTGTCTTTTATATGCAGACCTCTTTTATATAAGAGATTCTCAATGAGGAAATGGTGCATATATATATATATACATATATATATGTGTGTGTGTGTGTGTGTGTGTGTGTGTGTGTGTGTGTTTGTCTTTTTCTCCCCCAATACTAATTTCAGGGAGGTATGGTATCATTCATATCTAGTGTAGAAAGAATTTACCTGAAGTTCTCTGGTTTTAATATCAATACAACACTGTCTTTAAACTCCAACATTTGGTGTATTTTTTTCTTTTGATTTGGTAAGCAATGCCATTTTAAACATCGTTTGCAAAGTTTTTCCCTCATCCATGAAGACTTTATATGGGCAATCAACATTTTAATTTCAGTAAAAAAGGATATATGTATGTACAAACATGTATAACCTGATAAAACTCACCGAAATTTATGATAGGAAAGTTTAATAAAACCTTTTTGATATATTAATAGTTAGATTGGGTAAGGAATAAAAAAGCTCTTCTCCATATAATTTAATATCAAATAGTATTTGATTCAAAATAAGTCTACTCCGTATGTCTAATTATATGCTCCAATTGTAGATTATGCATTTTTGAAAAATGAAGGCAATTATTCTTCGGCAGCACAATTTCAGTTTATTGATTAAGAGATTTAAAACACTTATAACATTTTATCATAACTGGAGTGAATGCACTATCCAGAATAATCCCATAGATAAATGCTGCATTCCCTCTCTACCTCCCCTCCCTTAACTCTGTCTCCTTCTTCTGCTTCTTTCTCTACTTATATTTCTACTTCTTTTATTTCTTCTTGTTAAAAGCCTTTAGGTTATTAAAACATAATTCTTAGTATATTAAATGAAATATAATTCTTACCAATTAATAGTGAGCATCCGTGGACACTTTATTCAACTCATTAATGAGAGAAACAGCAGGATGGCAAAGCTTGTTCAAAAAGGGGTTGAGGGACTGGGCTTGTATACAACCACGGGAACAGAATGGTGGAATATGTTCATGAAATTGCAAAATTGATTAAAGCTATCCATCAGTGAACATATAACCATTAGAGTTACACTTTCTATGGACATAAGAGAAAATTACCCACACCTTAGTTTCCTAAAAGCTCTCTTTGAATGCTCCAGAGTTGTTAAAATGCCTGAGCCCTGGTCAAGGGTGAATTCTAAATAAAACAAAGTTACATTCCCAGAGAGAGGCAAATGACCCTCAGCCTCAGGCAACCTTGTCAGATAATTCTCTAGCATTTTATTTAAAAAACACAATTATTTTTCTGTTTTATTTCCAAAGGTTTGTATGATTCTCTTTGACAAGGTGAATACACTGTCCATTTTTACAATTAAAATGGATGACTTTAAAAGTCAAAAGCAGAAGGACATGAGGACTCTAAATTGAACCAAAAAGCATTTAGAGCCTTGGTTTAGTAGCTACATTGGGTAAGTCTGTAGAATTTCAAAATCTCATTAGAATTGCTACTACATGATAGAATTCACTTGGTACCATTTCTTGTTCTTTAAATTCTTATCAGTGGGCAAGATTTTAGGATTGTTCATGGAATCCATGAATTGTGTTATTATATGGTAGTACTGTGACCATTTATGTATGCTGTATTTTGATTGGCTGAAATTTTATTTCTACCCTTGACAGCTAGGACCACTTGTTAAGAAGAGTGAAATTGTGATCCAATTAAATCCCCAGATATATAAGTAGGCAAATTAGATGTTATCATATAAATTTTCACTTCTATTTTAAAATTAGTATTCTGAGATCTCTAGCAAGTAATTACAAATTACTTTTGCAAAAGGAAAAAAGTAGTATCAGCCTTAATGTTTTTAATTCCATGTATTAATATTCAGTCCCTTAGGTTATAGCTGAAAGCTGAGTTAGGTATCAGAATTGAACACTTTTTATGTTTTCATAAAAAATCATATCTATCAGATGTCTAGAAATTCTTTGACTAAGAGTGATATTCTTTAATTTACTTATGTTGTTGACAGCATGTATAACACCAGCAACAATGTTTTTCAGATTCAAGAAAAACCTTGACTTCTTAAAAAATACAAGTCTTGTTTTAAAGATATTATTTTATCTAAATAGATAAACACATTATTTCTAGCACATTTTATTGTATGTAATTCAATTATAAAACAGTTTAATCTTATTCTATATGGGATGCTATTAATTACAAATGGGATATTTTTCCCGATGAAGTGAACATTTTCTTATTATGACTGACTTTAATAAAATGGAAAGAACCAAGAGGATAAACCAGAAGTATCATGTTGTTTCACAAATACTATTAACTTGATGATGCAAAATTTGTTCATGGACACCCTTACAGAAAAAGACAATGAAATATTAGCATCAAATATTTATTGTTATGATTAATACATACTTTACCTGAGCGATTGTATTGTGAACGTCTAATGGTAGTCTAAATTATCAAAGTATTACACAAAACATCAAAAATGTGAGAACCAAAATTCAAAAGTCAAAGGAATGTTTGCTCTAGGTGCTATCACATCATGCAACATGGCTATCACATGCTAAAAAGAAAAACCTGCCTAGGTACATGGTCATATTTTTAAAAATGTCTTCACAATGCTACTTCTTAAGTCATCTAGGGTTCATTTTTTTTTTAAGATAGATGTTTGAAGCTTCACTCCCCCAAAGCCAATTGTAAGTAGGCTATGTATTTTTACCAAATTACCGAAAAACCCATTAATTCAGTTTTTGCAGAACTATGTAAAAATCCTAGTGTACTGCATAGGGTTGCATTATTTTGCTGTACCTACCAGTTAGTACTAAAAGGATCATTTCCAGATCCAGTGGGTTTCCTATCTTGCCAGCACTGGGTTACCTCCACAGAGCATTATTAGCTCTCATCTTAGAAATTGTTTAACACATTTCATGTTAAATAAAAAGGAGCTGGATGATGTAATAAATGTTTTATATTCAATAAGATAATCATCATATTTCATACATTCATTCTTAGAGAGTGCCTGTTTCCATCCTTCAGAAATGACCTGCAAGAAGCCTAGCAATAATGTTAACTCTATATGGGCTTTATTCTTTGCTCAGTTAATCACACATTCAATTTACCTATCTTCCTGCCCATGTGCATTATAATGCAAATCAATTCAAGTAGAGATGTGAGAGCTTAGGAAGCCTGGCCTGGCGAGCAAGCTTCCTTTATTTCTTGCCTTAAAGCTAGCCAAGCTCTGAGATGAAGATGAGCTTAATTAGAATTATAGAAGGATTTAAAAGTCAGTTAAAAAAAAAATAGGAAACTATTCAAACTGAATATTCAATTCGCAACAAAGTAGAAGAAAGCCTTAGCTCCCTGTGTCTAAACATCTCAAACCTCATAGGGTCAGAGGACAGTCTTTAAGGGAAAGCAGTTCATGGAATCCACGGCAGTCCTTACTCAGAAAGAAAAGTACTGAACAAGTCCACATTATTTATGATATGGCAGTCAGGCCAGTAAACAGGCGGCCTCTTTCACCTCTCTTGAGGTTCTAGTCCTATTCCCTTCTGCTCAAATGTGAAACACCATGCTACAGGCTCTACAGGCCCAGGAGGCTCAGGAGATACAAGTTTAAGAGCTGCAGAGACCACAGTTCTTAGAGCTATCTAAAGAAAACAACTTCTAATCTAACAACGCCGAACTTTACCCAAATCCTGTGCTTGTGAAAAACAGTGAAAGCTATGAAATCCTCTTACTATTTTAAGTTCTGAAGAATGGCTTACTAAATAATAAACATTCTTTTCCATAAGACAGAATAAGACTCACTGATTTCCTTACCCTTATCTACTTATGACAAAGCCAGACACAGACCCTGTACATTCTGGGTTTTTTTGGTCCTATAAATAATTAGTTGCACTGCTTGCTCCTGCTGATCAATCAGGGCTACATGCTTGTTAACCAGACTCTTCATTAAGCTTCTCTCCTTCTCTGGAGGCCCTGAGTTTTGGTTCACTCTCATCCTGAGCCGGCATGCAATCCTTCATGAGAACAGGCTAGCGTCATGGACAACATTCCCTGGTCTACTCTCTGAGCATACCACTCTTTCATTCCACTCTCCCACACTTGGTTCTTTCTAGCCTTGTTTATCCCTGTCTCTGTAAAAGAAAATATCTTTTGCTGAACTCTTCAGAAGCTTCAGATCTTACAATCACAGTGTTCTCCCTATTGCAATTGTCCCCCCATTGCAATTGTCCCCTTCCCTCCTCCTCTTACAATAATCCAGTCCAGATTTGATTTTCATTTGACAAATCTTTATAGCTGCCCCTCACTCAAAGATTGGATTTTCCAAGACTCCTGAGAGTAAACCCCTAACCATCCTCTGTACCTGTATTTCCCAAAATTGCATGCTCACATCTCTCTAGGGTAAGCTTAATGTGCCCAAGCCTTCTAGATAGTAAGTTTTATCAATGATTTGGCAGAGGGATTTTTTGTGCATTTCTAAAAGCTGTAGTCATGTTTTCACAGAAACAAAATCTATGGAATCTCAGTCTTATAAACCAATCTTAAGAATTTTAGTAAAATAACAAAAAATTCTAAAATATCCTGGGTAAACGGATTGATCTATTATGGTGGAAACCAATAATAAACATATTGTAGTCCTATCAAAGTAAAGGGGGTACAAAAAGAAGACAATTCCCCCATGCCAATGCCACCTTCTGAAGATCCTCCTCATCAAAGGAACTGGAAACTGGAATTGTCTGAGCAGCTAGTTTCTGTAACTTAACCAGTGGTTTTAGTCATTTGTTTTGGTTACACACACACACACACACACACACACACTGTCTCCTCTAAGTTAGTTTAACTTCTGTCAAATTGTTCTGAAAATGTAGGAATATATTCAAGGTTACATAAAATGTTAATAGCATCAGTAATTCTGTTTATATAACATACTTATATCAATCTTTACCTACCTTATAAAAGGTGTGAATATATCTAAATTAAATTTCCAACCATGAGCATACATGAGTTTATTAAAAAGACAAAATAGCCAGGCACGATGGCTCATGCCTGTAATCCCAGCACTTTGTGGGGTGAGGCAGATGGATCACTTGAGACCAGGAATTCAAGACTAGTCTGGTCAACATGGAAAAACCTCGTCTCTACTAAAAAATACAAAAATTAGCAGGATGTGGTAGCATGCACCTGTAATCCCAGCTACTCTGGAAGCTGAGGCAGGAGAATTGCTTGAACCAGGGAAGTGAGAAATGGAGAGTGCAGTGAGCAGAGATCACGTCACTGCACTTCAGTGTGGGTGACACAGCAAGACTCTGTCAAAGAAAAAAAAAAAAGAAAAAGAAAACACAAAAGACAGAATATATATATATATACTGTTTCCAGTTTATTAGAATATTTTTAACAACAAGAAATTCAAAACAACTGACAATCTAGTGTTACACCAGATCAGATGCTCTTTCTTAGGCTCTCAGCAATGAACTTAGCAATAAACATGAGGTTAAATCACTCCAATAATGATACATTTATCAATGAAAAAGAATTGCTTCAGTTTAAAGGATATAGAATGCACTTGGACACATATTAAATATATATATATAGACACATATATACATATATTGTTATTATTTTGAGGCTAATAGGATTAAACTTAGATGTTTTCCATATGAAACTACCCCTGAACAATAACAGCATGGAAGCATCCCTCTTTTAAAGGATTTTCAAGTTTGGAAGAAAAATCACTAGAAAGTTTCATGATTTGACAAGGGGCAATGACACTACCAAACATTCAGAAAAGCAGATAAAACATTGCTTAATGCTGAGGACAGTTTCAGAGCCTCTTTTTTTTTTTTTTTGGTTTTTTTTTTCCAGGGTAGTGTTGAGCAAGATGAGTGGAAACTACTGTTTGGTGGGAGCACACATCAGCAAAGCCTTATTTTTAGGTAATATATCAGTTTAAATCAAAATGTAAGAATAAGCATATTTTGGAGGAGGCACTATATCATAATATGTGAGTAAAGGGTTCTAAGATAGACTATCTGTTTCAGATTCCATCATCACAACTTTATAGTTGTGTCTCTTTGAGAAAGTTATTTAAAATTCAGTTTCTAATTTAAAAGTAAAAATAATAGTACCTATCTCGAAGTGTTGAGATTATACGCTAAAATGTATCTAAAATGTCCAGTACAATGTCTGGTAATTCCACCTTTAGGAATCTAATCTATAAAAATATGCACACATACGCACAAGGATATATATCAAACGATGTTTATTGTAGCTTTAATTGTTTTACAATAAGTAAAATCAGGAAAAAATTTAAATGAGTACCAGTAAAGGAATAATTAAATAATTTGTGGGACGAGGTTGGGTGCGGTGGCTCATGCCTGTAATCCCAGCACCTTAGGCGGCGGAGGCAGGTGGATCACCTGAGGTCAGGAGTTCAAGACTAGCCTGACCAACTTGGTGAAACCCCATCTCTACTAAATACAAAAAATTAGCAGGCTGTGGTGGCACATGCCTGTAATCCCAGCTACTTGGGAGGCTGAGGCAGGAGAATCGCTTGAACTCAGGAGGTAGAGGTTGCAGTGAGCCGAGATTGTGCCAGTACACTCCAGCCTGGGCAACAAGAGTGAAACTCTGTCTAAAGTAATAATAATAATAATAATTGGTGGGCCCGTACAATGGAACACTTTGTAGCTATCAAAATGAATGAGGTAGATCTTATTTACAAACACAGAAATATTTTAAAAATAAAAATGTAATTTTGGGAATGTTACCTTATTTGTATAAAAGAAAAAGATATGTATGCAGGTGAATAGATAAAGGAGTGAAAGGTACACATCAAACTATTAACATTGATTTTGGAGAAACAAAATTGACTTAAAATATATATATATATATGTATATTTTTATATTGCTTGAGTACTTTGTAATGAGATGTGTGTATATTTTGCTTGTTGTCTCAGCCCACGTCATCTAGAAAGTAGAGCACAAGACTAGGATTAAGGTGCTGATTTAAGGTTGTGAGTTCAGGGTGGCAAGGGGAAGGAAATTGAAGATGCAGGACATGTGTGAAGCAATGAAGTACAATACATTACTGAGTTGGTTACTTCTTTGCAATGATTGGTACAGAGACAAAGGAGTTTGCTGAGAAGACACATTCATTGGCAAATGGGGCTTCCTCAGAAGGATTGAAAGAAAAACATCCCAGCAGTCTTCAGAAGAAAGAAAGGAAGGAGGTATTATTTATTCTTTCTCTTATTTACTATTATAAGACTTCTGGTTTTAGCTCAGACATACAATGAGGAAGAAAATTGTCATTATCATTCTTTCAACAGGAAAAAGCTGGGCAAACAAAAAACTAAAAATCAACAATTTTTCTCAGATCCATCAGAAAATGTGGTAGGATAAACCACTGTTCCAGAATCTGGAAAGACAAATACCTCCAGGGAGACACAGGACCCAAGGCTGGCTTACCTGGAATAGAAGCCACCAGATGCCATAAACTGGTGGGAACATTAAACTAGAAATTTTGATGAATTGCTGCAGGACCAATATGGGCTAGCATGAATGTAAGGAGGTACTACTAGGAGCCTCATCGCGGGTGGCTCTCAGACTTTCCCTGATGCTTCTTCTAAGCACCTCACAAGGCTCTCACAGGGAAGATCCAGGTGAATCTGGAGAAAGCTCTTCCCCAAAAATCCCTGCAGGGGATGGGGAAATGTGAACATTGTTAAACTTGTCAATATCCTTTCATTTAATTTACAGAGCAAAAGCATTAATCTGTAGGAAAAATTTCGTAGCCAGAGGGCAATAGTGAAATCTCATTCCAGTAAGGGAGGGGAGCTCAACCCATCTTTGGCCCTTCTCTATCCGCCATCTCACCTAAGTAGGATGGGAACAATCCACAAAAAAAGAGGGTTTTAAGAACCTGCTACAGCTGAGGAAGGGGTTAGAGCGCTGGGAGGAAAAGCCATATAACCGTTGAGATACAGATTCCATGTGCATTCCAAAGTTTAAGACATACATTAGAAGATTACAAAATGTCCCTCTCTCCCTACATCCTATCACCAAGCCTGTAAGACTTCAGTAACAATACCAGTACAGCTGGAAGAACTAAAAAGGACATTTTTTCTGGGGAGTAATGCAAAAGGAAGCACCAAAGCCAAGAAAAGAAACATGAGCAAGGTTACTGGAGGAATCTGACACCTCTGATGGCCTTTGCTGCAACAAATATCAAATACAGAAAATTGCTAGCCAGATAAACATAAACCTTCATGCTGAAGACCAGCTTATCTCAGTTTCTCCTGCCCTATACAATGTGTTTGGCTTTCAACCAAAAATTTCAAGGTATGCCAAAGGGAAAGAAAAAAAACACAGGCTGAAGAGGCAAAGCAATGATCAGAACCACACTCACATAGGACACAGATGTTAAAATAATCAGGCAGAGAAGTTAAAATGATTGCAAGTAATATGTTACTCATAAAGTCTGAAGGGAAAGGTAGACAACAAACAAGACTGATTTGGTAATATCAATAAATAAATGGAAACTATAAGAAATAATCGAAACTAAATGCCAGAAATAAAAAACACAGCAACATAAATGAAATATGCCTTTTTTCTTATTTTTTTTTTTTTTTGAGACAGAGTTTCACTCTTGTTGCCCAGCCTGGAGTGCAATGGCACAGTCTCAGCTCACTGCCAACTCCGTCTCCCAGGTTCAAGTGATTCTGCTGCCTCAGCCTTCTAAGTAGCTGAGATTACAGGCATGCACCACCACACCGGGCTAATTTTGTTATTCAGTAGAAATGGGGTTTCACAATGTTGGTCAGGCTGGTCTCAAACTCCTGACCTCAGGTGATCCACCCACCTCAGCCTCCCAGAGTGCTGGGATTATGGGCGTGCGCCACCACGCCTGGCCCACTGAAGCATGCCTTTAATGAGCACAACAGAGACTTAAACTTACTACAGATAGGCAAAGGATCAGTGAGCTTTCAGATAGGGCAATAAAAACTATCCAAACTGAAAGACAAAGAGAAAAATATATAATAAAGCAACATCAACAAGAGAACACAATCTTTGAAAACTATGATACAATATCAAATGGTGTTATTTAAGCATAACTGGAATAGCAGAAGAGGACAAAGAGAACAAGGCAGAAAAAGTATTTGACGAAATACAGCTGAAGTTTTTCCATGGCAAGGGGAGCTGACTCAACCTAACTTAAAGGTTTCATCATGTAGCTTTTTGACAGATGCTTAGACAGCTGGATGTCACATCTTGTGCTGTGGAGGGACAACTCAGCCTAGGTAGTGCTAACCAAGAGAAAGACAGATGCAATCAGGAAAATCTGAGAAGGTGCTCATGGTTGGTATCTCCAAACACTTGTATAGCTAATTTTTTAAAATCATTGAACATACATCTATAAGATGGAAGTTTTTAGTAGGTGTGGAATTGACTAGAAAAACATAAGTATTGTCAAGAACTGTGCAAGATCTGAGATTTTACCCTACTTACAAGTTAACCACTTAGTCTGCCACAGTTTTATGGATACTGGTACAAGCCACAGACTTCTGAATCACAGAAAAAAAATAAAAAGATGTTATTACTAGAGGCACACCAAATAGCATGAGCATTACCATCATGCTTACATCGGCTGCCTATGCCTCCCAAATGGCACAGGGGTGAAGTGGAGGCATCCAAGTAGATGCTGCACGTGGAGAGGGTGTGTGTTACAGCTGTGGCATCCTGAGCTTAAGGAATCAAAATCTTTTATAATAGTCAGTAAGAAACACATGCCTGACCTTCACCCAGAGGGAGGCATAATCTTTATTACAATGGACAGTAAACAAATCTGCCCTTTGCTCTGACAGGTATTATCTCTGTTCTTCCAAGGTGTTCATTATACAAGCAACCTTGCAAAGATATTCTGCAATGAAGGCTGTCAGTGGTTCTGCTCAAAAGTCATGCAGAAACACAAGAGATCCCAGAAGAATTGTCTCCCAACAAAAAAATACGTGTGAAAGAGATGGAGTATGTGACATATCATCACCTGAAAGAAGGACATAGACCAATAATAGGAGCATTACTACCTGGCTTCAAAGCATTTTTATAGCCAATTTTAGTGTGTTTAATGGAAGAGAAATGCTTGTAAAAAGAATTTTTAAAACAGTAGTTTGAAGAGTCATTATATTTATATTAATAAATGGTTTTAATGAAATAGGACTGATTTTTAAAAGATTGCTTTAGAGTTCTATAAGTCAGAATTTATTCATGGAGAAAGAAAGAGAACAGTGAGCAAATCCAAAATACCTGGATAAGGTGGATGAGTTTATTATTTTTTAAAATTACATAGATGGTCTATAAGAGTTACTTATTTAACAGTTTTTTAAGGCCTTAACACTTGCAATCCACAGATAAACAGGAGGCATGACTTCAGTTTCATGTGCATAATTCAAATAAAATAAATATACATGTTTTATCAGTTAAACAAATACAGTTTATTGTGTAGACTGAGTCATTAGAATCACGGTTAATAGTCCTAAGAAAATTATAATATTTATAGCAAAACAGGAAATATCAGAAGTCATTATTCTTGTCTGGGTGCAGTGGCTTATGTCTATAATCCCACCATGTTGGGAGGCCAAGGCAGGCAGATCATTTGAGGCCAGAAGTTTGAGACCAGCCTGGCCAACATGGCAAAACCTTGTCTCTACTAAAAAATACAGAAGTTAGCCTACGGTGGTGTCACATGCCTGTAATCACAGCTACTCTGGAGGCTGAGGCATGAGAATTGCTTGAACCCGAGAGGCTGAAGTTGCAGTGAGCCCAGATCGTGCCACCGCACTCTAGCCTGGGTGACACAGTGAGACTATGTCTCAAAAAAAAAAAAAGAGAAAAAAGAATAAGTCATTATTCTTTATGGAAAGATGTCCTTTGGTCACTAGGGTGTTAGAAACTCTTTTTGTCTACCACCTGATATCAACAACTTGATTTAGCAACAAAAATATACTTACCAAAATGTCCACCAATAGTAACTTGAAATAATTCCATGTATTTCTTCTGGAGGATCTCTTTTCAGTGATGGCAGTTATTATGCTGGATCCATATATAATGGGAGTCAGATCAGGCTCCCAGTGTGTTTGATACCAATACAGAGAAAATAAATTGCCTGCATGCTGCATCTGATATCCAGTGTTAATTATCCATTATCCTAAATAAGACCTTCCACTCTTCAAAACCTGTTGAAATCTGAAAAAAATTAACAATTTAGCAAAACAATTAAGAAAAAATGGTTTTAAAGCACATTTAGATATACTACTTATCAAGGAAGGGCTCTGTATAAATTAAAACACTAGCAATAATTCATTCAAATAAAAGTAGAAATGACTGCCATGTGAGCAGTCAGTCAGCATATATTTTGGAGGAGCTATTTATTAGGTGCCAGGTGCTATGCAAAGTGCTGAACAAAAACTTTACACTAAAACATTTGCCATGTACAAATGATACTACCTTGTGCTTCACTTAATATCACTGCTATTCAGTTTCCTTTCTGTGAAAATCAAAATTAGAATAAGTGATACTATGTCTCTTCTAGAATTAATGTTCTTTGCATTAAATACCTATGTATCAGGCCATTCTCGCATTGCTACAAATATCTGAGTGACTAATTTATAAGCAAAAGTGGTTAAATTGGCTCATAGTTCTGCAGACTTTACAGGAAGCATGGTACTGGCATCTGCTCTGCTTCTAGGGAGGCCTCAGGAAGTTTACAATCATGGCAGAAGGTGAATTGGGGGCAGGAACATCACATGGCAAAAAGAGACAAGAGGGGTGTGGAGGGAGGTGCCACACACTTTTAAACAACCAGTTCTCATGTGAATTTAGGGCAATGGCTCACTTATCCCCAAAGGGCCATCACTACACCATTCATGAGGAATCTGCCCACATAATCCAAACACCTCCCACTTTGGAGATTACAATTCAATATGCGATTTGAGTGGGAAAAAATATACAAACTATGTCAACCTATTTGGCCTGAGTTTATATTCTACATTAGTCTATCTGAAGTAGATGAAGGCTTTAGTGTTTGCATTTAGTACTATTTCATCTGCCCTATTCTTCTCACTCACAGTTGCTACATCCAGCCATTTCTCTCAGATGCCCAGGGCTGACACGCTATTTAAGAGTTTCTGTATTTCCCTACTTTATTTCCCTATCCCAGTGCAAGTTTTGGAACCATTACATGTTTTAGACCTTTTCCATACCCACTAGCCTAATAAAGTTTTAAAGTCCAGATTTCCCTATACATTGACTTTTCTGTCTTCTACTTGCCAAACTGATGAAGGATTACTAGGAAAATTAGTCCAGCTGGAAGTTTTAATACCTAATATTGAATTTATATATTATACTTCCCAGAGGAATTTTTATTTTAACAATGGATTCTTGGAAATACACTTTCTAAATCCAAAGAAATATGAGTCATTTTATCCATTATTACCATCTGTTTGAACACAGAGGAAATTTTTTAAATTTTCTAGTAAACTTAGTATGAAAAAAGGCATGTTTAGCCTTTGTGATGTATATAGGCAGCTGTCCTTGTGGCCAGGGTTGAGTCACCCTGAGATAAGGACTAAATAGACTTTTTTAAGAGGTGGAATGAACCTTATTTAATTGTAGACAACACTGATCCCTGGTAATGTGTGATAGTAGAAAGAACACGAGATTTGAAAAATAGCAGCAATAACAATAAACACTTTGCCCTATTAGTGTGCCTTGAACTTTATTTTTTTTAACTCTTCTCTCTCCCATTTCATTTATCAGTAAGATCTTAGAAAGGAATAATTTTTGACCTATTAGGTAATAATATTACCTACATATGATAATCAGGCACATCTTAGAAAAGTTCATGGGTATGGTTAAGTGGATGTTATCAAAAGGAAGAAATTTAAAGGATTAAAACATAGAGTATGTTTTTTAAAAAAAAATACACGAAAATAAAACAGGGAAGTAAAAAATACATGCTTTCCAAATTTTTTTCCTAAAATAAAAGAGTAAGGAAATATCTACATTCTCATTCTAACTCCTCATTATGGTGGTTCTTAATCAAAAGTGACCCTCAGCATTACTTGGGAATTTTTCCAAAATTTCACCCAGGCAAACAACTGCCATAAGGTACAACATGAATATATACTCAAGAGTTGCTTTGCTAAGAATTTTAGACAAATCCTTTCTGTCTTTAGTTGCACTTTATTTCCATGCTGTATACACACATCCATGCCAATAGAGCACTATTGGCAGAAAACATACAGCTAGCTAAATTCCTAGCAAATTTTGAATCTGCTTCCCATGGGTTAAATATGGTACAAGTCACAGTATATATCAAAGGCCTAATGACTAACAGGCAATAAGTTATATACATAAGGGGACGATGCTTTATTAAATAGAGAACCATAAATTAATTTTTTAAATTGATTTCACCTCTTTCATCCATCCAAACTAAATCTTTTGTTGAAATGGTATTCCTATTGTGAAGAACCTTACTCTCAGGAATAATTCATTTGGGATATTAACTTTGTGTGGGTACCATTTACTTAGCCACTCCATTGCAAAAACTGCCACTTCACTGTCCCAGAATTATGCCTTTTCCTATTCAGCATATAGTTGATAGTTTACATCCAGAATGTGAATTGTTCACCTTTTGTCTCCAGCAGCTCTAGCTGTTGAATTTTCCATTATAATCTAAACCTAAAGGACCAATTTTTAAAAAATTCTTAATATCCCAAGGCACTTTGCTTCTTTAGACATGAATATTAAATAGGGTGAAAGCTTAAAACCCTTGGTGGCAAGTCCCGTCAAGAGAAGTCACTTGAGGACATTCAAAATACAACTAGCCAACTCACATTCTATTGTGGGATTAATTAGCTGTGAGCTACAGAGTCAGTGTTGTAGTAAAGGTAGTTTTCCATAGAGCTTTTGTCACATGCTTCTGCCAGGTCTATTTCTTTTTTCTCAGTTTTAAGCCATAGTTTGAGGAAAAACCAGCTGGACGTGGTGGAAGAAGCAGGAGACAGAGGAGGAGGGTTCTGGATGATCCCACTCTCTTTACATTACACTTTGCCCAGACAGCAACTGACTAGCTACTTCCTCTGAGAAACTCTTTTTCACCAGATTGACACCATTACGGGAAGCTATTCTTAACCCCCAGATCAAGTAAGCTGGCTAAAAATGAAAGAGAAATCTTTTAAGTTAGAAAATTTTATATCATTGTCAGTTTGGTAAGAGGAAAGAAAAAAAAAACACTCTCCATCTAGCAGAGGGAAAAAACTCTCCTTTTCAAACTCTTATGATGTTTTTTCAGTATGTTGCTCAGAATTGAAGAAAGAGCTCATTTCTTGACTATCACCATGATTTTCACTGAGATTTATATTCAATGACACCTGAAGATTACACATAAACCCTGACACTAGTGTAGGCTAGATCCTGCTGCCTGAACTGTAAAAACGGATGACTGTAGATGCATCAGAGAGCTAATTAGAAAGTCTTTTTCTCCTTTGCCCAGACAGCTACTCTTGGTTTCAGGTAGTTTCTTTGGGTGCATATCTTCTCTTTTTGTTCCCCACCTGCTTTAGTTTATGAAGTGTTGAAAAATTTTTAATGCATTTTCTCCCAAATAAAATAATGTGATAAATGTGAAATTATGGAATAACTGTGTGTTTTTCTGAGCGACCAATTAGCATTATGATTTTTTTAATTGGCACATTTCTATTTCTATCAGACCATGCCAATTAGGATGATTACAACATGTTTCAAAATTTCCAGAAGTACCGTTAGATACTTAAAACTTTTTCTCCTTTGATTAAAGATTTGATTTTATATCTCTGGGATTCCAAAAAGCTCTATGTGTTCTGATTTTGTTTCTTACAGAGTAGATTATTTCCCAGGAGATTAAAATTACTGTCTGACTGCTAAATGACTAACTTGGTTGCATGTGGGTTTCTGTTGCACCCTACTTAAGCAGGCATTAGTCTCTAAAATCCATGTAGTCCAAAAAACCACAGACCCAAGAATAGGCAATTCAAATATGGATTCCATTGACAAAGAATGGAGCCAAACTACATTGTCATTTAAATGAATATATATGATAGCTAAGTTATGGTAATCATGTAACATAAAATGCTTGACTGAAATATAATCACAATGATTATAAAAAGTGATTTTCTGCTTATTGAAATAATAAGTATGACTAAAACTAATGTGTTTAACTGCTGGCATTGAAGATACCTACTTTGTGAATATATCTACATTAACTCATGTTCTCTGTTGTACATGAATCACAATTGCCTTCAAAATGCTGTCTCTCTCTAGTATTTTGAAGGAAGCTAAGACACTAGTAATGATACACATAATTCATTTTTGTGAAAGAAAAATTCAGAGACAATATCAAGTAGAAAAAAAATAAAGTTGGTTTGTAAAGACTGGAGAAGGTCCACTTTGCCAAATATAAAAACCCAAGAGGCATCTGAAGGGGAGGGGGAGGCAAGACTAGCAAGTTCAGATTATTCTATTCATTGCACAAAAAGAAACATGTTTTATCCTTTTTATCATGTGTATAAAAATAATGATAACAATATCTTTTTTATTGGTACCAATATCATTATTTTTGTACATATGATAAAAAGGATAAAACATGTTTCTTTTTGTGCAATAAAGAGACTGGATATGTCATGAAGTATATGATGAAGGATATTGTCACATCCTTTGACAATAACATTGCAAAAGTCAGTGATAATGTTGTTTTTCTCATGGTAGCGGTAATTCACAGGAAATGCTCAAGGTTTCATTTGGTCACTAGAAATAAGAACTATTTCTCATAGTTTTTGTTCTAAGACAAGGTCTTTCTCTGTTGTCTAGGCTAGAGTGCAGTGGTATGACCATGCACTCATGAGGCTCACTGCATGAGGCTCACTGCAGCCTCAGTCTTCTGAGCTCAAACTCCTCCCCCTACAGCCCCCCAACTAGCTGGAACTACGGCTGTGTGTGTGTGCCACCATACCTGGCTAACTTTTTTTTTTTTTTTTTTTTTTTTGAGACGGAGTCTCGCTCTGTCGCCCAGGCTGGAGTGCAGTGGCGGGATCTCGGCTCACTGCAAGCTCCGCCTCCCGGGTTCACGCCATTCTCCTGCCTCAGCCTCCCAAGTAGCTGGGACTACAGGCGCCCGCCACTACGCCCGGCTAATTTTTTGTATTTTTAGTAGAGACGGGGTTTCACCGTTTTAGCCAGGATGGTCTCGATCTCCTGACCTCGTGATCCGCCCGCCTCGGCCTCCCAAAGTGCTGGGATTACAGGCGTGAGCCACCGCGCCCGGCCGGCTAACTTTTAAAAAACAATTTTAGTAGATAAAGCTCTTCCTGTATTGCCCAGGCTGATCTCAAACTCCTGAACTTAAGTGATCCTCCTGCCTCCACCTCCTAAAGTGGTAGGATTGTAACCATGAGCCACCATGCCCGGTCTCTCTTATAATTCTTAAGGACCATGGATTACTTTTGTATGTTTTTGAGATTCATAAATGGACACACTTAGTATGTATTCTTTTGTGTCTGACTTCCTTTACTCAACACAATGAATGTAAGATTCATCCATGTTTTTGTGTGTTTCAGTAGCTCAATTTTATCCATCTATCTAAATATTTATCTTGGATATCAACAGTTTTTTTATATACCTAGAATTATTCTTTGGGGACTGGAACTAGGCAGGACAAGCCTATTATTTTTGCTTATCCAAAAGTGCAAAATATGGGACAGTGGGACATATTGTGTGTGTCTATGTGCAATGCAGCAGGACCAAGGGTCAGCTTTTTTTTCCCAAAATCCCTCATGTGGGCAGATTTCTGTCCTGAGGGCATGGATTTGACCATAGACATTTGAAGAATGGTAGTATCCTTAATTTGATTTTTTATTTGATCAGTTTTATTTATGGGAGTTAAAAGTGTTATTAATGAACACATCCAGACTTTCTTAACATTTAGTTTTGAAAAATGGAGCCACAAGAATCTAAGGTTTATGAGTTAATAACACTGCAGAGGATTTGTAAAACTTCTAGGATTGTAATTTACTGTTGTGTGTCAGAGATATTTTGCTGTGTTTTTAAGCTTATCTACTAAGATCAGGAACCAAGAATCAGCAAAACTATGACTGCCAGATTTTGCCTATTAAACTCATAACTAATACTTTCTCAGAGATTCCTATGTTTAACAATGTTTCCGACCTGTCAGAAAGTGACATTCTTGACTCTCTGTGAATATTGGATTGTATCACAGAACAAGAACAAGCAATTCTTCTAGGAGGACATTATAGGTGTAATTTTAACATACAAAACATACTTTTTATTTCTTAATAAAGATATTGTCATACTTAATTAAAGAAGATTTTTCCCATGGGAGGTTGTACATTTTTTTAACTTTTCTTTTTGCATGGAAGGGTAGTCTCAGAAAACCTGTATAAATAATTGTGTAGTCAGAAAAAGTAAAAAAAAAAAAAATTAGTAAAAACATTTTATATAAAATTTATTTATTGTTTTGAGTAGTCATGCAGACAGGACCAATGTATATATAATCTCAAGAAGAAACATACACAAAAAATAAATTACTTAAAGTGCACTAATAGCAAGTGTACACTTAATATGAATTTTTATATGAGTTTATCATGTTACTACCAATCAAATCAAGATATAGACCTTTCCTGACACTTTCAAACGTTCTCTCATTGGTTTTCCTAGTTAATTCCTCCACTCAGAGGCAAGGAATATTTTGACTTCTATTACCATGGATTCGTTTTGTATGTTTTTCAGATACATATACATGGACACACATAGTATGTATTCTTTTGTGTCTGGCTTCCTTTATTCAACAAAATAAATATAAGATTCATCTGTGTTTTGTGTGTTTCACTAGTTCAATACTACCTTTCTATCTACTATCTATCTATCTATCTATCTATCTATCTATCTATCTATCATCTATCTAAATATGTCTGTTAGATATCAACAGTATTCTATATACCTAGAATTATTGTTTTTTCTTATATTGCTAGATTATAGAATGGGTGGATATTATCAGGTTTCCAAGGCAATTGTGCCATTTCATACTCTATCTGCAGTCTATGAGATGTGCCATTGTTCTTTATTCTCACCAACAGCCTGCGTTGCTAAAGCTTCTTAATGTAATTGTGTGAGTGGGAGTGTTGCAGTAGCTCCTTGTGGTTTGGTTTACATTTCCTCTTGAGTAATGGTATTGAGTATATTTTCAAATGTTCACTGGCTATTTGTGTATACTTTCTAGTTGTTTGTTCAAATATTTTGGCCATTCTAAATTGTGTTTGTTCTCCTCTATAATTGAGTAATAGTACTTTTGTTTTGTTTTGTTTTTGTTTTTTTGAGACATGGTCTCTTTCTGTCCCCCTTGCTGGAGTACAGTGGCAAGATCACAGCTCATTGTGACCTCAAACTCCTGGGCTCAAGTGATCCTCCTGATGCACCTGCCTAGAACTCCCAAATCGTTAAGTCTACAGGCACATACCACTACATCGGCTAATTTTTTTTCATTTTTAATTTTTTTGTAGAGAAAGGTCTCAGTATGTTGCCCCAGTTTGTTTTGAACTCCTGGCCTCAAGTGATCCACCTGCCCCAGCCTCCCAAAGTAAGTGTTCTTTATATATTCTGTATATAAGTTCTTTGTTCTTTTTGTATATATGTAACGTGAGTACCTTTTCTAAATGTCTTTCCATTTGGTAAATTTCAACAAGCACAAGTTTCTAATTTTATTAGAATATAATTCATTATTTTTCTTTTTTAATAGTGTGTGTATCCTATCTAAAGAATATATGTCTATAACAAGGACATGGAATATCATTCCATGTTTTTTTCTGAAAGCTTTATTTTTTCACATCAGGTGTTTTGTATCATGTGAGGTAAAAGCTAATGTTAATTTATTTCATACTGATATTTAGTTATTTAAATACCATTTAAATATAGTTCTTTCTCAGATGAAGTTCAGTGACATCTTAAGTCAAGTTATTAAATATGTGTAGGTCCATCTTATATTCTTTCTCCTTCCTTTAGTTTATTTATCTATCTTTTTGACTATGCCAAACTATCTTTTTTTAGTGCATTTTAAAATTATGATGTAAGTCCTTCAAATCTGTTCAATCTTTTCCCAGAAAATATTCTTGCACCTTTAGATTTCTAAATACATTTTAAAATTATCTTATCAATTTTAGTAAAATAACCTCCCATGGCTTTGGTTGAAATTCTATTAAATCTTTATATCATTAAGGGTAAAATTAATATCCTAACAAATTTGAGTCTTCTGATACATAAATACTGAATATCCCTCTGTTTATGTAGTTATTCTTTAATTTCCTTCTATAATGTTTTAAAATTTTCAGATTAAAGGTTTGTGCTTCCTTAATTAGATTTATACCTCGGTTTCTGATACCTATGATGCTATTATAAATTATATTATTTTAAAATTTAGTTTTAATTTCATTACTGCTAGTGTTTAGACATATAATTGATTTTTATTGAACTTTATCCTATTATATGTCTAATTTCACTTATGAACTCTAATAATGTATTTGCCCATTCCTTTGGATTTTCTATATACACAGTCATTTTCTGCAAAGAAAGGCAGTTTTGTTTTTCTCTTTACAACTTTTATACTTTTTTCTTTTTGCATAGCTAAAACTCCTGTATCAGTACCATGTTGATTAGATGTGATATGAGAGTAATTATATTTGTCCTTTCCCTGTACTTGATGGGAAAGCATTTAACTTCTCACATTAAACTATAATGTTAGCTGTAATGTAATGTTAGCTTTTTGTTTGTTTGTTTTTAGATACTTAAAAAAATCAGATTATGAGGTTCTATCTCTCTTTTTCTTTAAGCTAGTCAAGTGAAGCAGTGGGAGTGGAGAATGACCAAAGAAACCTGTAACTGATTGTGATTAATTAGTTGTAAACACTACCGCGCTTGGACCAGCAGAAGTTCTCTTTTAATTTAGTTTGCTTAGAGTTTTTATTATGAAAGATGTTGAATTTTATCAAATGCTTTAACTGCTGCTATGGTTTCGATGTGTCCCCCAGAAAGCATGTTAGAAACTTAATTACCACTGTAACAGTATTAAGAGGTGTTTTTTTTTTCTGTCTTTTCTATTTCAATGACTATTTCTCTTATTTTCTTCCTCCTACTAATTTGTTCTTTTTTGCTTTTTGAGCTGGGATCATTGATTTTAAAGTTTTATCCTTTCCAATATATTGGAAATATATATCCAAAAATTACAACATTCTTTCTTAGTACTGTTTTAGCTTCATAGCACAAAATTTTAGTATGTAGTGTTTTTGATTTACATTCATATCAAAATATATTCTAGCATCCTTTGTATTTTTGTTTTTACTAATACTTAGATGTTTGCAGCTTTATTTCCAAATATTGCTGTTGATTTCAAACTTTATTCTAATCTTGTCAGAGAACGTGTGTGTCTGAGAAATGCATAGTTATTGCTCTCTGTAGTGAGAGATGCAGATGAGAATGAGAACAGTTGAAATGAGCCCACTGATTTCAGTAGGGTGACAAGAGTGAAAAAGGCTAAGTAATAGCACTCGTTTTTTCTACCTTCTTTTATTTTTTATTTTTATTTATTTTATTTTATTTTATTTTATTTTTTGAGATGGAGTCTCCCTCAGTCGCCCAGGCTGGAGTCCAGTGGCGCCATCTCGGCTCACTGCAAGCTCCGCCTCCCGGGTTCTCGCCATTCTCCTGCCTCAGCCTCCCGAGTAGCTGGGATTACAGGTGCCCGCCACCACGCCCGGCTCATTTTTTTGCATTTTTAGTAGAGACGGGGTTTCACCGTGTTAGCCAGGATGGTCTCGATCTCCTGACCTCATGATCTGCCCGCCTCCGCCTCCCAAAGTGCTGGGATTACAGGCGTGAGCCACCGCGCCCTGCCACCTTCTTTTATTTCTAATGTCAGTTCTTTGAAATGTATTGACATTGTTTCATGGCACAACATACGGTATAACTTGTGACTATTCTGCATATACTTGTAAACAATATTTATTTTCAAGTTGTGTGTAGTGCTCTCTAAATATCATTTGGTCCAGTTTCTCAATATATGTATTCAAATTTTCTATTTTCTTAATGACTTTTCTCTGATTTTTAAATAAATTACTAAAAATGGAGTAAGTTCTCCAACCATAATTTTGGATTTATTTATTTCCCCTTTTCTATCTGACAATGTTTGCTTTTGTCTTACTTTTTGTTTACTTTTCCCCATCCTTTTTCTTCCTGCTTTCTTTTGTATTGATTGAGTATATTTTAGCATTTCATTTATCCCCTATTTTGGGTTTTTAGTACTGAGTCTTGGTTTTATTGTTTTTAGTCTCTGGGGATAATAACATGCATTCTTAATTTATTGCAATCAAACTCGAATTACTTTTATATTGATTCACATATAATGTAAGACATTTACAATACCCCCATCATTTGTGCTATCATTATCATGAATTTACTTCTCTAATGTTATAAACCCCACGAAACATTGCTAGTATTTTACTTTAAAAATCAATATCCCTTTAAACAAATGAAGAAAAAATATTTTATATATATTCACATATTTCTGGCACTCTTATTCCTTTCTTATTCCAAATTAAATAAATGAGAGAAATTACCATCCGTGTATGTCTCAAGTCTTTGAGAGCAGCACTGATAGCTTTGATTTACCACAGATGGTATAGTTTATGGTTTACTAGTTTGGCAGCGTTGAGAAGCTTGAGCCGCTTCTTCTTCCTGTGATGATGGTTTTGACTTCAGGATTCAGGGAGCCAGTGTGGGTTTTTAGCAATTTCTAATTGTCACTACTTACTGAGACCACTGTGAGATAAACTCAGGGCAAAATTCCTTTATTTCATCAGACTTCATAACCCCTTATTCTGATCAGTGATATTCTATGTCTCCAGGGATTATTGCTAGTTTAAAGCCAATGTCCCATAATCCTGAAAGGTCTGGGTTTTTCTTTCCCAGTGCTCAATCACTCTAGTAAATAGCTGCAAGTGGAGGAAGATTTGTAGTACACGTTTATCTTATAAAATATCATTGCAGGATTTTCCCCCAAGGATATCCCCTTTTCTAGTAATTGCATGAGAAATGCAACTCTCTTGTGGAACATAGATCAAGCTTCTTTTTTCACCAGACCTAAAGTTGTATTCATTAAAGAGACCAAGTGGTGCCTTAGTGTACTTTTCATCTATTTCAATCTTAGAGACTCATGATCCATTAGCCACTAGCAAAGATCCCCATGGATGAAACAATTCTCTCTCCTGTTCTAAAATTGTGTCTATTATGGTAACCCTAGCTTCATTATCTCTGGCAGTAAAATGCTGCCATGCAGATTTCATTATTGCCACTAAAATGAGAGGAGTGAGCATAGTTAGAGGGTAGGTGAGTGTATTGCTCATGATAAATCTATTCAAACATCCCTACTTCTTTATGTATTTGATTTCTGCTTGTGTATAATATCAAGAAGTGTTCAGCAGGTCACTTCATTCATTGTAGACAACAGTTGAACTCTGCTTTTAGTTAACCAACTAAGGAGCCACTCACAAGGGCTCAAGCTATCATATTGAATCAAGAATATTTGGTAAATGTCCCATATTGATAAGTTTTGCCTTATCTAAATATTTTTCTCGCCATGGTCTACCACTGAAGACTTTTCAAACATATTCCCCAGCTTTCTGCTCATACATGTTAGTGCAGACTTCAATTATTTTGACATGTAAGTCTTCTTTTCATGGTTTTACCTGGTAATTGCCCTCTTGGGCACATGGAGACCTGGTGCTGAATAGAACTTTGGAGGTCATGGAGTGTAGTAATGGTGGAGCATAAAGATAACCAGCAAAAAACTCAGAAATCCATACAGGATCTCCAAACAAAGTAAATCAGTCTCTTCAGAAGAAATGGAGAAGCTGCTTCTGCTCAGTACAGTTTGAATTTGGGATACTGAGAGTCATTGCAATCTTCCTAAATGTTATTAATCTAATTCCCTGAACCCCACTTGTTTTTCCAAATGGAAGCCCTAACCTTTGCATAAAATCTTCAAACAGTTAGATAGGATAAATAAATTCTAATGTTTGATAGCAGAGTAGCATGATGATACTTAGCAACAATATTATGTATATTTCAAAGTAACTAGAAGAGAGACTTAAAATGATACCAACACATAAAAGTAATAAACACTTAAGGTGACATATACCTCGAATACCCTGACTTGATCATGACACAATGTATGTCTATAACCAACATTCACATATAGCCCATAAATATGTAAAACATTGGAACATTTTCATTAATGCAAAATATTTAAACCCATCAAGGCTAAAAGTTTTTCTTGCTTTAGCAATTGTTTTAAATAAAAATCAAGATGTAAAAATATGAATAAAACAAATCGCAGTCATTCTGAAAAATAATTCTCTGTAAAATTTCTTTAAAAACACATGTGAACATCTAATAAATTATTTTATTTAAATAAATGAAACACCTTCAATAAGCTGTATTGAATCTACATTATAGGTTGCAGAATCAGACTCTGCATCTAAATTTGAGGTACAAGAGATGAAAGGATTTTTTCTCTGATGCTACCTTGAGTTGAGAATGTAGAGACCTGAGCCTGTCATATTCTTCCTTTAGCTCTCAAGTACAACTAAACACAGTCAGGCTATCCAAAAGTTTTGTATTCTTCATGCTCATCATTCTGTGATGCACCAGATGCCATATGATCTGCCAAAGCCTGGCCTTTAACAGGCACTTTATTCCAGCCAGGAATAAAGTTAAAAGGAACAGTCCTTTTAAGGAAATGCTTTGCTACTGGCTGCCAGACTGGTGGTATTTTATCCTCTCCTTGTGTATTAGTCTGTTCTCTTGCTGCTATGAAGAAAGACCTAAGGCTGGGTAATTTATAAAGAAAAGAGCATGCCTGGGGAGGCCTCAGGAAACTTAGAATCATGATGGAAGGCACCTCTTCACAGGGAGGCAGGAGAGAGAATGAGTGCCAAGCAAAGGGGAAAGCCCCCTATAAAGCCATCAGCTCTTGTGAGAACTCACTCACTATCATGAGAACAGCATGGGGGAAACCATTCCCATGATTCAATTACCTCCAGCTGGTCCTACCCTTGACATGTGGGGATTATTACAATTCAAGGTGAGATTTGGCATGTGGCGGGGGGAGGGGGTGGGGGACACAGAGCTAAACTGTATCACCTTTTAACCAGATCCTCATGTCTTCAAATCAGGTCAGGTAAGATGACCCATTCCAGAGTCTATGAATTCTCATTTTTTTTTTTTTGCCTGGCCAAAATTTTTATTAGTGATATTTCAAACATGTATAACACAGAGAATAATGTAAATTCTATGAACTCATCACCTACTTTTAATCATTACCAAAATAATTATTTGTTTTGTTTATACCTCCATCTCTTCTCCATCCTCTGGATTATTATTATTATTATTATTATATTTATATATATATATTTATTATACTCTAAGTTCTAGGGTACATGTGCACAATGTGCAGGTTTGCTACATATGTATACCTGTGCCATGTTGTTGTGCTGCACCCATTAACTCGTCATTTACATTAGGTATATCTCCTAATGCTATCCCTCCCCCCTCCCCCCACCCCACAACAGGCCGTGGTGTGTGATGTTCCCCTTCCTGTGTCTCATTATTCAATTCCCACCTATGAGTGAGAACATGCGGTGTTTGGTTTTTTGTTCTTGCGATAGTTTGCGAGAATGATGGTTTCCAGCTTCATCCATGTCCCTACAAAGGACATGAACTCATCATTTTTTATGGCTGCATAGTATTCCATGGTGTATATGTGCCACATTTTCTTAATCCAGTCTATCATTGTTGGACATCTGGGTTGGTTCCAAGTCTTTGCTATTGTGAATAGTGCCACAATAAACATATGTGTTTATGCAGCCAACAGACACATGAAAAAAACCTCATCATCACTGGCCATCAGAGAAATGCAAATCAAAACCGCAATGAGATACCATCTCACACCAGTTAGAATGGCAATCATTAAAAAGTCAGGAAACAACAGGTGCTGGAGAGGATATGGAGAAATAGGAACACTTTTACACTGTTGGTGGGACTGTAAACTAGTTCAACCATTGTGGAAGACAGTGTGGCGATTCCTCAGGGATACAGAACTAGAAACAGCATTTGACCCAGCCGCCCCATTACTGGGTATATACCCAAGGGATTATAAATCATGCTGCTATAAAGGATTCTTATTTCTTAAGTGCCTTGTCTCTGACGTAACAAATCAGCTACAATCCAGTTGCAAACTCAGAAAAAAGCACAGCTATTTTTTTAAAATCATAGGGATTTATGAAATTAGGACTTTAAAAATTTCATGAAAGTATTAGAAGCCTCTAGGTGAGATCTTTAGGAATTGTTGCTTGAAAAACACCACAGCATGGACCAAACCAAGAAATGCTTACCTGTGGCACAATCTGGAAGTTGAAGGATCAAGAATCTACTCTACCAGCTATTAGCTTCAAGACCTTACTGCATTGATTGCAATCCATGAGACAGAAAGCTTTCCCCAGTCTGTTTTCACTGGCAAGATGATGCAATCAGTGAATTAATCAGGAAGTCCCTACTGGAATTTTAGACTCCAGAACTACATCACATCTATTGCATTTACACAAGAAAAATGAAAGGCTGTCTTTCTGCTTCAGTCTTTCTCCCACTTAGTTTAAAATCCATGTCAGTTTGAGAGCACTTAATTAGAAAAATCAGTCACATCCAGAAACCAATCTGCATGTGATTATGGAAAATGTCACATTTATTATTACAGTCTCTACTGAACAGAAGGAAGCACTAGATGCTGAGCAAGCCAATGTAGCATAATTCCACAAGTACCTTTCTGTCTTCCTCAGTATTTGACACTGAGTATCACACCCTTACGTGAAACACCATTCTCTCTTGAGTTCTGTGATGCTATACCTTTAAATTTCCTCTCACCTCCAGAATACATCCTTTTAATTTTTTATTGCTCTCTTTCTTTCCTTTATTTATAATTAAATATTGGAAGATTCACAGCCCTCTATCTCAGACCACAATTTTGTCTCCTTCTCCAGATAATGTCATTTGCTTATCACAATTCCATATGTCCAGCTCCATGCATTATTGGAGCTATAGTTTAGTATATCTAATTTTCTACCAAATATCTCCAATTCTATATCTCTTTAAGATCTCTAAATTAACTATGCAAAACTGAATTTTTGAATCTTCAATTATTGCCTCCATATTATTTAAAACTACCCTACTTCTTGACCCTTCTTTCACTTTCAAACAGATCAAGGTCTTTCCCATCTCAGGACCTTTTCACATGATCTTCTGACTTCTGCATGGCTGGTTCATTTTATCCTGTTGCTCTTATTTAAAATTTTATTTTCTCTTTAAGGTCAAGAAAGGGTCTGGCCACTTTAACTAAATTAGTGAATCTATTATTCTTTTATACTCTATCTCAGAAATTTTTGACTGCCTTCATTTTTTAATTTTTTTAAACAAACATTTATTTTTAAACATATATAATATGTTTTAAAAATATATAAACATGTTTATGTTTACATAAATATATAAACATATATATTTATTATAAACCTTCCCCTACAAGGGAAAACTTGATCTTCTACTGTAGTAGTAACTTATGGT